>NC_000010.11:78324913-78476428 GCF_000001405.40 Homo sapiens | reverse complement strand
CTATGAAGCACCATGAGAAACATGGAAAGCTATTTTCGTGCGTGCTTCTGATGAGAAGTAGGAGGCGGGGAGGCAGGGAGGAATGATGTCATCTGAGCTCTGCTCTGTTCTTTGAAAGGGTGCTCTGTCAAAAGCATGGAGGAGATACATTTGGCAAATCAGTTTCCCCGTCACTGCCCACTCAGGTGAATTAATCATTTATTAGAGGCTCTCTGCGAGGAGTCCTGAGACTGATGGTAAAGTCTGTAGGGGCAAGGGAGTGGGCATCATGTTACCCATGCCAAGCATGTGGCATTCTTGGCTCAGAATAAGGAGAGACTGGAGGAGGTGAGCTCCGGGAAGAGACTACTGCACTAGTCCCGGCAGAGGGCAGAGGGAATGATGATGAAGGGAGGGGCATGGCTGAGGGGGCCATAGCAGAAATGGTAACAGAACAGAGTTCTTCCTTCCTAGGGTTCCAGTCATGCTCTGCATTCTATTTCTCCTTCAGGTGGTCAGGGATCGTCTGCACCCACCCCTGACCATGGACCAGCAGCAGTGGGCTCATCCAGCTCTCCCATGATGGGGCCCAGTGGGGTGGGAGGCCCCAAGGAAACTGCCAAGGCAGGCGGCCACCAGCGCTCAGGGAACAAGGCCATTGAGTTAACACTTCCTCCCCCATGCCAGTTTTTCAAAGAACACAGAGGTAACATTGTACCACATTTTATGAAATGGAAAATATTTGCCTGAATCCACAGAGACCTGCTCATACGAGTCACAGCTCCTGGGAGATCTTGAATGCTTTCTACAGACACTCTGTCACTCTGACTGCAGCATACGTTATTTCATGCAGGCTCCTGCCTGCTGCCCAGGCTGGGCCAGTGCACTGTGCAAACTGCACTCCATCAGGTCAGCGGCGAGGAGGAAAGAGCATGTGGTAGGGTCAGGAGACCTAGATTCTGAGGATGGCCAAGCTTAGGGTTGAAGGAAACCTAGATCGTTTAGTTCATCAACGTCCCCGTCAAGTGACCATCCAGCATCAGCTTACATGCTTCTAGGGACAAGGATCTCACTACCCCTCAAACACTCGGCTTCCATCATTACACAGTTGAACACTTGGATGTTTTCTCACATCAAACAGAAACCTATCTTCATAGAGTTTCTACCATCCATCCCAGCACTATCCTTCAGTGAGCTCCCTCTTCATCTGTGCTGCTTTGCAGAAAGATGGAGGCACCTTTCCACTCCCACACCTTCCACGTCCCTGTTCTTAAACCAGAAGCCCAGTTCCTACAGCCACCACTCACCTGCAGAGGCTTCTCGATGACTGACCCATTTGGCCCTCATTTCCCTTACAGTAAGCTGTGTTGCCCATGTGCTTGGTGACACACAGCCCAGCCACCTGGCAGGGTTGTAGTGAGGATCCAATGGGACAGGGAGCCCTTAGCAGCCAGGGACCCCTCACTGCACAGATGCCCCAGTGCAGCATGGGGTAATCACTGACCAGATGCAATTTATGCATCACTGATGGGATCACCAGGGCCAGGTGAAGGCATTTAAAAGCACTTTGCCTTGAAAAGATTATGTGCCTCCCATATATAACGTAAAGTGAATTAACTCTAATCTGTTAGGTATGTGTAAGGACATCCAACAACATCATAAGTTTTCCTTTGACGAATATGTCCATGCTTTCTGTGAAATTATAAAATTCTTTCAAAAATATTTTTCTTTAAAATTGTTTTGTTTTTGGTGCCCCTGCTTTGCTGGTGCTCTGTTAAGTTCTTTTTTTTTTTTTTTTTCTTTTCTCACTCTGTCACCAGGCTGGGGTGCAAAGGTACGATCTCAGTTCACTGCAACCTCTGCCTCCCAGATTCAAGCGATTGTCCTACCTCAGCCTCCTGAGTAGCTGGGACTATAGGCGCGTGCCACCACACACGGCTAATTTTTTGTATTTTTAGTAGAGACGGGGTTTTGCCATGTTGGCCAGGCTGGTCTTAAACTCCTGACCTCAGGGTGACCTGCCCACCTTGGCCTCCCAAAGTGTTGGTATTACAGGCACGAGCCACCGCACCCAGCCCTGTTAAGTTCTAAGTCTTCCATCCAGTCAAAGAATTTAAAACCCAGAATCAAAATGTGGACAACATACCTCAGAATTTGGAGATCAGAAAAAGAGACCTCATAGGAATCCTTGGACCTGGTTGAGTTCACAGGGCTCATAAATTTACAGAAATCACATGCAGAATTGTATTTCTGGGGCGAAATTCTGCAGCTTCCATCAGATCATCCAAGGATCTATAGATTCATGGAATTGGAGGTACTGCCACATAGACCCTAAAAACCAGTAATATAAACTGGTGCAACCACTTTGGGAAACTGTTTGTCAATAGCTCCTAAAGCTGCATGTACTTACTCATATGCAATGATTCCATGTTTCCACACCTCAGTTTTTGCTCATCAGAAATGTGTACACAAGTACAAAAAAAACCAGCATGTACAAGAATGTTCATAAACAGCTTTATTCATAATAACTGAAAACTTGAAACCATCCAAATGTTCACCACGATAAATGGATACCTAAATTTCACTATCTTCATACAGTGAAATATCACAGAGCAGTGAAATGAAAAATCTGCAACAGTATCCAATGATAGTGAATATCACATCATAACATCGAACAAAAGAAACCAGACACAAAAGATTGCATAGTGTGGATGATTCCAGTCATACAAATACAAAAAGCAGCAGCATTAATCTATGTTGTTTCATGTTGGGATGGTGGTCACCCTGGTTGGGAGGAGTGATTAGAAGGGAGAATAAGGGGGGCTTCCATTTCTTAGTCTTGGGCTGCTTATATGAGTGTGTTCTGTTTGAGAAAAGTAATTGAGTTGTACCCTCATGCTTTTTGTATTTTTCTGTACGTATGTTACGATTCAATGACAAGTTGAAACTGTGATGTCTGTAATGTGATCCACATTTGATGAAATGGCTTTTGAGGCGTTCCTCAAGCTGACTTCAACTTTTGAGCCCAGAGTCTCCCAAAGGCCATGCATAGCCCTTATAGTGTGGAGTTGAGATTATCTGGCCTTTCTCTATCATCTCACTGGAGGCCAGTGACTGCAAAGTCCTGTCTTCTCCTGACAGGTCCGGCCCCCTTCCCGGAGCAGGTGCTCTGCCATGTCTGCTAAAAAATGTGTTGCTAATGTGATCCCTTCGAGAGGACATGGGAAAAGCAGGGCCTGGGAGCCTGAGGCTGGCCTTCCCACCCCAGCTGAGAGTCACCAGGCAATTGGCCTGCTCGGATTACAGACAAAGGGGGTGGGGGGGGTGGGGCGGGAGCAGGTTCACAGGGGGGCGAGGCCCAAATGAAATCACAGCTGGAAAAGCACTTTATGCGCTGTACATTGGCCTACCCATGCATGGGATTATTGGTATTGTTATTGTTATGGATAATGATAATAATAATTATTATTATTATAAATTAAAATGGTGTATTTTGTTCCCCTAACTGGAGAGCCCATTTGGAGCCCAGGGGGAATAGCATGCAGGCTACTTCCAATTTTTTTCCAATTTGGCTTTAAAAAATTCAGCATGAAGAGAGATTGGTCTGGGCAGTGATGCAGACAACACACAAAAAAGAGAGTGGGGGTGGGGGAGGGCTGGGAGCCCTACTGGGCTTTCAATCATCTGGCTGCCGAGTGCCCAGAGCCAGCGCCTGATTTCTGAGGGCAGCGAAAGCTGCACACTCATTAGAGCGGGCCTCCACCGGCTTTCAGGTTCAGAGTGGGCAATTGTTCTCAGCTCTCCGTGGAGGAGGGAGAGGAGGCTTGTGTTTACCAGGCTCAGAAACTGGCCCCAAAGAGCCTCCCATGGGTGGGCAGGAAGCCCACAGTCGCTGGGGTTCTGGGGTGACCCGGCTGTGTGACAGCCATTCATTTTCAGTGGGAGGGAGCCAATATCAGTCTACCCTGTGGGGAGGCCTGGAAGCTGCTTGTCTCTGAAGACAGATCCCAGGTGCTGCTTTCCCTCCGGAAGCGGTCTGGAGCATGGGGGCAGAGGACAGGCAGGGAGTGGTTGGAGGGGTGGTAGAATAGATACCAGGCCCAGACTCTGCCCTAGGCCTCAGCACAGGCCCCAAAGTGGGGGGCAGAGGGTTCACTCAGGGTGCCAAGCAGCCAGAGGCGCCGGCGGTCTGGTCAGATCAAAGAGCTTTGCAGCAGGTCCCAGGCATTTGGAGGCCTTTCAGAAGTTGGCTGGGGGAGTTGAGGGGATGAAGTGCAAGAGTTAGAGGGAGGGAGGAAAGAAAGGAGAGAGGAAGGGAGGGAAAAGTGAGAGACAGTGAGGGAAGTGGAGGGGAGGGAGGGCAAGGCTGGACCTGCAAGCATCTGGGCTATGTCTCTCTAGACAGCTTGCTGACTCCCTCAGACCTTCATTTTTCTTCATTTTTAAAATAGGGAGGGGCAGTTAATGTTTATTGAGCATTTACTGCCTTCCAGAAATGGCTCTAAGTGCTCTGTAAGCTTAACTTGCTCGATGCTATAAACCAGACACCACCGACATCCCCACCAGGCAGAGGAGAAATTGAGGGCACCGCCTGGGAGGTGATGCACTCAGAGCCTGGCAGCTAGAAATTCACAGGGCTGGGATTTGTGCTCAGGAACTTTCGTCCCAGAACCCCATCTGCGCAACCACACCACACTCCCTGTCAGCTCAGGGCTGGGGAGCACCTCATTCCACATCCAAGCCCCCACAATTCACATGCCACAGAACATAAGCCCAGGAAGGAGCTCCTGGGGTCCCAGGAGCAGAGGGGATAACGACACACACTGGGCCCTTCCATGCCACCATCCTCTGCACAAGCTGTGCCTTCAGCCTGGAGCGACTTCCTCTGGCCCCCACACCTCCACCACCTCCTCTAGGTGTCGGCTCCCCGAGGTGTCCGCAAAGCCTTCCCTGACCAGTCCGGCCCGGCCTTCCAGGCCCACCACATGACTCCTCTGGTGCCTAGTGCCGCCCTCCACCCCACAGGGTGGCCATTTGCACATCTCCTCCCCCAGGGGGCTCACTGATGCTGCAGTGATGATCCTGTCTTGTCCTTTTTAGTATCTCCAGCACCTGGCATGACAGTAAATTCATGCATAAATGCCCAAGGTCACAGAGCTGGGATGAGAACCCAAGGCCTTCAGAATGTCCATCAAACTGTCGCTTCCTGACCTCTCGAAATCACAGAAGCAAGATCAGATTCTAGGACTGAAAGGGGAAGAAACAGAATGTAAGTCCAGTGCCCCAGGTTAACAGAAGAGGAAACAGAGGCCCAGATAGGGCAAGACCCATGTCCAAGCCCACAGAAGCAGTTAGTTCTGGCCGAGCCAGGCCCGACTCCCTGCCCATCCTCCTGTAGTCTTATAAAACTCATCCCTTTGCTACCTGCAGGGGACTAAGGGAGTGCCTCTCTCTGGCTGCAGCTGGGTGGTTTTGTAGAGGATGTGGCTGAGAGTTCGTCAGCTGTGGCCCCACTCAGACAGCTCTCTGTCCATGGGTGGCTTTGTATTGGAGTGTGCTATCAAAGGACTTGACCTGGATCGAACCAATGGCCAATTACGCCTTCCTGTGGTGCACTGAGCTGAGCTTACTCAAGGCTGACAGGCTGAGGGGGTAAACAACAGTGCATGGGCATGCCATCCAAATCACCCTACCTATCCAAGCCTGGCGTGCAGCCAGGCATCCATTAGCTGTGTTACTCACTGGCTCTCCTTCAACCATCATTAGTCTCTCTGTTGTAAACATGAGAAAAAATGAAGTTCAGAGAGGAGAGGTAAGCAGCCTTAAGTTACACAGCTGGTAAGTGGATAAACCAGGATGCCAAGCCAGGCCTGCTGGAATGCAAACCCATACTCTCCCTGCTTTACAAAAATCCCTACATTCTGCAAGAGAGGCACTGAGTCTCCTCATCTAGCACCTGTCTGTGGGGCCTCACTTTCCTCATCTGTGAAATGGGTGGGGTATGAGAAAAGTACTCACTGGCCAGCCAGGACAAGGCACGAGTGGCAGCCAGGCTGGGGGCTGAAAAGAATGGGAGCCAAGTCAAGAGCTCTCCCATCATTTCCAAGGGCACAGTATTAACTCCCACATTTGCCCATCATTTGTTCAAGCAAAACCTTGTTCACCAAGGCCCAGTGAGGGTCTGGATGCCCAGAGGAGACTTTGGTCTGGAAGGAGGAAATACTCTTTCTATACCCATAAAACCAGTGAGCACAGAAAAACATGCCAGGTGCAATGTTCCCTGGCAATGTCTCCCAGAAAATTCCAAATCCTTCAGTGCTTGGTGAAGGGAAAAGCAGATTTTGTGGATAATTGCTTTAGGAAAACCCTGAGTTGAATGAAGCTCAGCAGATGACTGCAGGACTTTTCAGAGCCTTTAAAATGCTAACAAGCTTTCTAGTTCACCAAGAGAAGTGGAATGTTTTCGAAACATACTTGATCATGCAAAGTGTTTCAGAGCATTTCAGAAGAACAATGCCTGTGTTATACCCTTTAGAAAACCCTGTGCTGGGGAAGAGGAAAGTAGGAAGAGCTACAGTATATATTTAATTTACGGTAAAGAGGCAAGTAAATTAGAGGAGGACATATATTGCCAAATGAGGGGACAGCTTTTTCAGAAATGTGGCATTAAAAATGCACAGGCTTCCCTCTCCCTCTCCCTCTCCCTGCCCTCTCCCTCTCCCTCTCCCTGCCCTCTCCCTCTCCCTCTCCCCACGGTCTCCCTCTCCCTCTCTTTCCACAGTCTCCCTCTGATGCCGAGCCGAAGCTGGACTGTACTGCTGCCATCTCGGCTCACTGCAACCTCCCTGCCTGATTCTCCTGCCTCAGCCTACCGAGTGCCTGCGACTGCAGGCGCGTGCCGCCACGCCTGACTGGTTTTCGTATTTTTTTGGTGGAGACGGGGTTTCACCGTGTTGGCCGGGCTGGTCTCCAGCTCCTAACCGCGAGTGATCTGCCAGCCTTGGCCTCCTGAGGTGCCGGGATTGCAGATGGAGTCTGGTTCACTCAGTGCTCAATGGTGCCCAGGCTGGAGTGCAGTGGCGTGATCTCGGCTGGCTACAACCTCCACCTCCCAGCCGCCTGCCTTGGCCTCCCAAAGTGCCGAGATTGCAGCCTCTGCCCGGCCGCCACCCCGTCTGGGAAGTGAGGAGCGTCTCTGCCTGGCCGCCCATCGTCTGGGAAGTGAGGAGCCCCTCTGCCTGGCTGCCCAGTCTGGAAAGTGAGGAGCATCTCTGCCCGGCCGCCATCCCAACTAGGAAGTGAGGAGCGCCTCTTCCCGGCCGCCATCCCATCTAGGAAGTGAGGAGCGTCTCTGCCCGGCCGCCCATCGTCTGAGATGTGGGGAGCGCCTCTGCCCCACCGCCCCATCTGGGATGTGAGGAGTGCCTCTACCCGGCCGCGACCCCGTCTGGGAGGTGAGGAGTGTCTCTGCCCGGCCGCCCTGTCTGAGAAGTGAGGAGACCCTCCACCTGGCAACCGCCCAGTCTGAGAAGTGAGGAGCCCCTCTGCCCGGCAGCCGCCCCGTCTGAGAAGTGAGGAGCCCCTCCGCCCGGCAGCCACCCCATCTGGGAAGTGAGGAGCGTCTCCACCCAGCTGCCACCCCGTCCGGGAGGGAGGTAGGGGTCAGCCCCCGCCAGGCCAGCCGCCCCGTCCGGGAGGGAGGTGGGGGGGTCAGCCCCCCGCCCGGCCAGCCGCCCCGTCCGGGAGGTGAGGGGCGCCTCTGCCCGGCCGCCCCTACTGGGAAGGGAGGAGCCCCTCTGCCCGGCCAGCCGCCCCGTCCGGGAGGGAGGTGGGGGGGTCAGCCGCCCCGCCTGGCCAGCCGCCCCGTCCGGGAGGGAGGTGGGGGGGGTCAGGCCCCCGCCCGGCCAGCCGCCCTGCCCGGGAGGTGAGGGGCGCCTCTGCCCGGCCGCCCCTACTGGGAAGTGAGGAGCCCCTCTGCCCGGCCACCACCCCATCTGGGAGGTGTACCCAACAGCTCATTGAGAACGGGCCATGATTACTATGGCGGTTTTGTGGAATAGAAAGGGGGGAAAGGTGGGGAAAAGATTGAGAAATCGGATGGTTGCCGTGTCTGTGTAGAAAGAGGTAGACGTGGGAGACTTTTCATTTTGTTCTGTACTAAGAAAAATTCTTATCCTGTTGATCTGTGACCTTACCCCCAACCCTGCGCTCTCTGAAACATGTGCTGTGTCCACTCAGGGTTAAATGGATTAAGGGCGGTGCAAGATGTGCTTTGTTAAACAGATGCTTGAAGGCAGCGTGCTCCTTAAGAGTCATCACCACTCCCTAATCTCAAGTACCCAGGGACACAAACACTGCGGAAGGCCGCAGGGTCCTCTGCCTAGGAAAACCAGAGACCTTTGTTCACTTGTTTATCTGCTGACCTTCCCTCCACTATTGTCCTATGACCCTGCCAAATCCCCCTCTGCGAGAAACACCCAAGAATGATCAATAAAATAAATACATAAATAAATAAATAAATAAATAAATAAATAAATAAAAAGTGAAAAAAAAATGCACAGGCTATGTTCGGGAAGCAATGATCCCTCCGAATGTCTCTTCCCCACACTGGCATCCCCAGGACAGCCCTGTTTGTATTTGGTTTGCATGTCTGGCTTCCAAGAAAGATTTTATTTGACAAAAGCATTCTGCCACAGAAGGGGACATCTGTTGTTTTTCCTGTCCAACATCCATTCTCCCTGCTTCTGGTAATAGAATCTCAGTTTTCTTTAGGGAACACACCTCTTCCGCCTTCCGTCCATGTGGTTTAGGGCACTCCATGCCCCCCCTCCTCCACCAAGCCCCAGGTCTGCCAATCAATTTATTGTACCTCTAACATCATCTAACCTCCACCTCTGTGACTGGTTCACAGGTGGGCATATCAATCACAGTGGTCCAATGAGCCTTGAGCCAGAACTTCTGCTGGGATTACTGGAAAAAAAGCTCATTTATTGCCAGAGTTCCTGCAAGCTTGGAGCTGCTAGAGGCCATCTTTGCAACCTCGTGGGGAGATCTTTCGGGAAAATGAAACCATCACAAAGGCAAGCAGAGTCTAGAGACTGAAACAGATTTCTGTCAACATCCTATGGGCCCTTGCTCCCAGCCATGCCTGAAGTTGGCTGTACCTCCGGGACCTAGACATTTTAGTTACTCAAAATAATAAATTCTCTTGTGTCCGAAACCAATTTGAATTAGGATTCTGTCACTGGCAACTGACAGAATCAACTGCCTAACAACAGTTATAAAACATAGTCCCATACAGGTTTTTTGTTGTTGTTCTTCAACAAATTGTTCTTCATGCACATTATTCATTCATTCAAAATAATACATATTGGACATGTATTGTGTACATGTAACCTATACCGGTAAGGCTTCCAGGTACAGATGTTCAAGTTGTGCACTACCCAACTCCAGGGGATTGGCCTTCATGTAGTGCACTACCCAACTCCAGGGGATTGGCCTTCATGTAGTGGCCCCCTTGGGTTACACAGTGCAGCACCCTTGGGCCATGGGAATATACGAATATATAAATCAGCCCACCACACAGAAAGGGTCCATGTCTCACTACAGCCTCTAAACCCTGCCATTCTCTGGAGTGGTAAGGAAATGAAGAGACTCTTTACAGTAGGAAAAACATAAGGTGCGGTATTAGGACACCTGGATTGGCATCTTCACTGTATTATTTACTAACCAAGTGTGATGTTGGATAAGCCAGTTAAGTTTTCTTAGCTGTTGCTTCTTTATCTGTAAAATAGGAATGATAATATTACCATCCCTGTTGAAATCCTTTTTTTTTTTTTTTTTTTTTTTTTGAGACGGAGTCTTGCTCTGTCACCCAGGCTGGAGTGCAGTGGCACAATCTCAGCTCACTGCAAGCTCCGCCTCCCGGGTTCATGCCATTCTCCTGCCTCAGCCTCCCGAGTTGCTGGGACTACAGGCACCCACCATCATGCCCGGCTAATTTTTTGTATTTTTAGTAGAGGTGGGGTTTCACCATGTTAGCCAGGATGGCCTTGATCTCCTGACCTCGTGATCTGCCCGCCTCAGCCTCCCAAAGTGCTGGGATTACAGGCATGAGCCATCGCGCCCGGCGGAAATCCTTCCTATCCTTCAAAGCCCAACACGATCACCACCTCCTCCAAGAAGCCTTGCCTGATTGTCTCCGTGGCCACAAAGTGGTGACTCAGGAGGAAAAGAGAGAAGTAAAGGCGCATCATGGGTGAAGAAATGACCTGAGAACTTGAAATCCAAGCCCGGCCCATGCAGGCTGTTTTTCTTAGTCCTTCCTCGCAGCAGGGCTGAGGTGGGAGAAACCGGCTGTAAGCACACTCAGTGGGATGATTTGTGGATCGCCTCCTGGACACCTCAGAGTGCTACCTTGAGTGAGGGGAGAACAGCTGTCCTCTCATCTCATCACCTAGAATAAGAGAGAAGGCCTGTCTGTCACCTGCACCACCAAAGCTTGAGCACTATCAATTTGGGAAGAAGCGGCTGTAGTGGTCATCCAGACAGCACCTAACTCCCCAGGGAAGCAGGCTCCATTCTTCTCATCCCTACCTGTTTTTCCCATGGGTAGGGGGTGTGGATAAACTGTGGAAGGCAGAAATGACACCCCTGGCTTGTCATCATCCCCCAGATTTCAGGGTGGAGGGACTCTCGCAGTCACCCAACCTGCCTGCTCTCTGGGGCTGACCTGCCTTCCCACTGGGACCCCTCCCTCCCATCCAGGCCCATTGGCTGGCCCCCCGAGCAGGAGGGAAAACACCCTCCAGCCCATGGGATTTGTTGCTTTCTTTCCCTCTCCACAGGGACCTGACAAGCCTCCAGTCCAGCTCTGTTCCAAAGCCTTCCAGACTCCCTGATGTCTGCATTTGCATGGAATCCAATCTTCTACACAACCCCCTCACCTCCAGCCCAGCCCTTTCTTCAAACCCCCAGCCTAGGTAAATAGCAAATAACCCTCATTAACATTTCCTAGATGTTGTATTCTGCTCTTTTCTGTTGTATAAAACATGATACAAAAGACAGCCCAAAAAGAAACAAAACGCCCTGCTTGTGTGTTATTTACAGCAGGCCTCTTCTAATCTAATCATCTTTCTTCTTCCCCCCACCCTCTCCCCAGCCCACTGCAACTTTGCAGGGTTTTATGAAAATGAACACGTTGTTCATGCAGCCGGACTCCCTCCCTTGCAGGCCTCAGCATAAATAATTTATCTGAAAGCTGATTTGGTTGGCTACGCTTCCATAATTGAAGGCCGTCCCACACACTTTATTGGCGAGCACGGGGGCCCAGTCGCTCGGGTGCACTGACCCCGGATGGAGGGATTCAAAGGCCCACCATGGGCCCCTTCAAAGCCCTGGAGGCCCTTCTTCTTGATGTCCACTCCCGCCCTCTCCCTCTTCAGCAGGCCCAGCCCCCTCAGCCCTCAATCTGTCAGGAGACTGAGCTGCCAGGCTCTTCCGTCCATCCTTAGCTGGTTGCAGGCTGGTCCCTACCTGATGAACTCCCATCGCCCTGCACAGCCCTGCCTCTGCACCATCCCGCCTGTCTGGCATCCTCTGAGCCCAGGTGACCCCGGAGTGTCTCCCAGGGCTGGCCCATGGGGGAGTCTGGGACTAGCCCTGGGGCACAGGATAGGCCTGGAGACCTCCCATTTTAAACATTAAGGAGAGGCTGGAGTAAAGTGGTCTATGCCCTGTCTCATGCCCTTGAGCTTCAAGGGGTCCTATGCTCCTGGCAATGCCCCAGTGCCTTCTTGGCTCACAGATCATCTCCCTTGCAGACCACCAGCACCTCCTTGCCGCACTTCATTTAGTGGAGGACCTTGCTGATCTTGAGAACTTGCATATCAGCCCGTAGCACTGTGCACCATACACTGCCCCTCCTTCTGGCTGGGGACAAGTCCTCTGCTTGCCCACTCCACCCCATCTTATCTTGACTTCCCCAAAGACAAAAATCTCCAGGAATCCTCTTGCAGTTAGCCTGCATCATCAATTTTCTTCTCTCCTGGAATTTTTGTCAGGTATAAAGATGCAGATAGCATGGTGGCTAAAGCAGAACCTCAGAGCCATGTGACTGGGGTTCAAATCCTAGCTCTGCTCCTTAACTGCAGTGTGACCTTAGGCAAGTTACTTAACCTCTCTGTGCCTTAATTTCTTCATCTGTAAATTGGTAAGCAAAATAGTAACTAACTCATAGAGTGCTTGGTGGATTAAACGAGTTAATATATACAAGGTACTTAGAACAATGTCTATCCATAGAAAGTGTACAAAATGCTTCCTATCAATATTATGCTGAAAATAAAACTCTTTACCCCACCTCCCTCTCCAGCTATCATCCCGATTTTCCTGCTGCCCATTTGTAGCAAACTTCCTACAAAGGGATGTCTACATGCCCTGTTTACAATTGTTCTCCCCTGCTTCTCCCTTGAGCCCCCTCCCATCAGGCTTTCTCACCCTCAACACTGCTCCAAAGTACTTCTCATCAAGATCACAGTGGCCTTCATGGTGCACAGTGCCATACTCAGTTTTGAGTCCATTCTGTACCAAACCCGTAGCAGGTACTTGACACAGAGAATCAGTCTCCTCTTCATACATGGTCTTCACTTGGTCGATGACACTGCTCCCTCATGATGCTTCTCCTTCACCTTCTCTTTCTCCTCCTTCTCCCTGGCTTCTCATTCTCAGTCTCTTCTACTAGATATCCCTGACTTCCCGACCTCTACATGTTGGATGCCACAAGGGCTCAATGCTATGAACTCTCCACTCCCTGGGCCAGTGCTATTCAGTGGAGATACAACACGAGCCACTGATGTAACTTTGAATTGTCCAATAGCTACATTTAAAAAGTACCAATGAACAGGTAAAATTAATTTTAATAATAGATTTAATCTAACCCAATATAATCAAAATATTATCATTGCAACATGTAAGCAATATAAAAATTATCAATGGGATATTTTACTTTTTTTTTCTAAATCTTCAAAATCTGCTGTGCATGTTACCCTTTCATGCAACATGACCCCTGCAGACCAGCCATATTTCCAGTGCTCAGTAGCCAAGTGTGGCTGGTGGCTTCTAGATTGGACAAGACAGCCCTAGGGGATCCTCTCCATCCTCACTGTGTGAATGTCATCTGTATTACCAGGACACAGAAATCTTTTTCACCAGTCTGGAGCTCTCTTTTGAACTCCAGATTCTTGTATACATTTGGTGCCCCAAAGACACATCAAACTTCAAAGGGAATATCATGGGGTGGGCCGGGTTTGCAACTTCATATAGCATGACCAGGGAAGGACCCTGGGAGGAAATGGTATTTGAACAGGGATCTGAAGGCAGGGAGGAAATGCGCTCTGTAGCTGTCTTGGGGAAAGCCCAGTGGGCAGGTAAAAGGGCAAGTACACCCATCTTGAGCCGGGAGCAAGCCTGGCATGTCCCAAGAACAGGAGGGAGGGGGCTGAGCTGGGAGAGAGTGGCGAGGCGTTGACTCTTGGCCTGTGTGAGTCAGGGAAGTCATGGGAGTAAGGGTGGAGGAATGGCAAGTTCTGATGTCTATTCTAAAATGATGCTGTGGTTCAGGGTAAAGAAACAACCAGAGGGCCAAGAGTGGAAGCAGGGAGGTGAGGCAGGAGGCTGTTGCAGTGGCTCTGGGAGAGGTGGTGGAAGCGTGGACAATGCCGTGGAGGAAGGAAGACACCTACGCTTGGAGGCTGGATCTGTTTGTAAGATGCAGGCCACAGGGATTGGTGAAGAATTGGGTGTGGGCTTTGAGAGAACCAGAGGAGTCAGGGTGATTCTAGAGTCCTTAAAGGATGGTCAGGTTCCAGTAGCCTCTGACTGAGGAGGTAAGATGCAGAGGCCTGGCTGCCAGAGCCCCACATGAGATGACGCTGAGGAGCTAGCTGAGTTCCAACAACTCTGTGGTGTCAGCCAAGCCACATCACAGCTCCACCTCTCCCCTGCCCCATCCTGCCTCCCTCCCCGTTTCCCACAGGTGTTTGTCTCAAGGCATTCCTCTTAAGCGTCCTGCTTCATAAACTCCTTCTGAGAGTCTGCTTCCTGGAGAGCTCAACCTTCACCACTCACCCCCAAGATCCAACTCATAAATTCTCCTGGACACTGCGATGAGGCAGCTGGCTTTCTCCCTGGCACCAGCCCCAAGGGAGCCAGCCTTTGCCTATAATTGATTCCTGGCCCTGACCCCCTCCTCCTGCCAGAGGCCCATGCAGCCCAGAGGCTCCAGTGGCAATGACCATGTTGAGATGCTTAAATCCTGCCATCTTGGCTTTTTCCATTATTTTTTAAACCTTGGGGGCCATGGTATCCAAGGTCCATAGACACTGGGTGGCCAGTGATAAGAGGTCCCTGTCACTCTGCCCCAGGAACAACTGACACCAGGCCTGGGCAGCCCTTCTTCCCCCTACAGGGGCCCTTGCTCCCTTTTGTCTTGACAAGAGGCCCCACCTCATCCCAAGAGGTGCAGGAGGCCAGACTTTGCAGAGTAGCTGGCCAGAATCAAGAGACCACAATGAATTTGTTTCTAATGATCGCTCCTTTTTGCTCCACCTGAGATTGCCAGTAGAAGGGTCTGTTAAGACAAATCTGAGTGAGTCGTTGCATCTGGGAACCTGTACTGTCTCCTGAATGTTCTCAGGTGATAGCCCAAACCTGTGCTGAGAAAAGAAATAAAGACAAGAAAGTTAGACAGGGCCCTCACTGGACAGAGGATAACTGGCCAGCCCAACACTCCAGATTTCAATTTCCATTGAGACTAAAGGGCCATAGCGTAGGAGCAATAGGCAGCTGGGCCGGAGTGGCCTCAGTGAGTCAATGCAGGGATATTCACTGAGCATGTAGCTTGGGCCAGGGACTGCTTAAAAGGAAGCTGCTGGGGGAACACCGACCATGGTCCTCAGCAGAGCAGGAAGCTGGGATCCCAGGAGCCATGGCAAGCTCCAGATGAGAAGTGAGTACAAACTTGCAGAACAGACAAAGAGTGAGGAAGTGGAGGCTAGGTCAAAAAGCGGAGAGTAAAGCAGGCTTCTGTCCTTCAAGGCCCAGCCCAGAAGACCCTATGCCCAGTGATATAAGATCCTCATCACTCTGCCCCAGGAACAACTGGTATGATCCATGAGCAGTCCTGGGCAGGGCAAATACCTGGGCTTTGAGTACTGAATAAGGTGCGATGCACAGTCCCTAAGAATCATGATGACATCCTTAGAGTGTTATCTTAAGGTAGCCCTGTTTAGTCCTTGCCTCTTATCCACCCGCTACAAAGAGCAGTCAGTTTAAAAAATGGCTTGGCTCACAGATCAGGAACCCCTCAAGAGCAAAGACCTACCTCCCCCACTGCAGCCCAGCAACCTGTAGGGTTTTCCTGCAGTCGAACAAGTGTAGCTGGAATTGCATTCACCCACCTGTTCCTGAGTTCTCCTGGGACACAATGTTGGATTGGTGGGCACTAGTATATTCTTTTCACAAGTGCTGGAATATCACTATTTCAAACAGCTTAATGATCATTGTACATGTGCCCTGAGCAAGGCTGCATGAATAACTAAAATGTCAAATGTCTTTGTTTTAGCTGCGATTCTATCAACTCTGCAGGTCTCATAAGCATGAGCCACATGCCAATTAGAATCTCTGATGGTCAAGTATAAATGTCTTTGTTTCATAAAAATGAAAGAATGAGTTCATTATCACTTAACTCCCTCTAGAAGAAATAATCTTTTAAAAACTTAAGATCCATAAGGAGGAAAGATGGGTTGTTAAAGCAGGTCCTCCCTAAAGATTGCTTCCTTGCCTGTGAATAGAATGAATCCAATGGCATCATTTCCTAGAACCAAGTTGAATTTCCCACTGGAACCAGAATTCCAGAAAGCCCTGGACATCACTCTACATGTCAAGGCTGCAGACACACACACATCAATTCTGAAAGAGGGAGGATTCCAAGAGTGATGGTGCCTGCAGGGCCTTCTGAGATAAGATGAGGAGTCTTTCTGGTTTCCAAGGGGAGGAACCCAAGCTACAGTCTCACTGGCACCAAAGATTAGAGAGGTTAGTGATTGAGGACCCAGGGAGGCAGCTGCTCTCTGAAGACTCTTCCCTAGTGGAGCTATACCTCAGCTCAAAAAGGCAACCACAAATCTTGTGTCCAGCACAGCTCCAATTCAAGCAAATTTCATTCTCTTTCACCAAGGAAAGTCTATACACATACACATGTATATACACACATGTATGTATATATGTTTATATATGTGTGCATGCATACATACATACATATGCATGTGTATAAAATGGGATTTGAATTATAGACTTAGACCTGTCTTTTCATCAAAATAAATAAACAAACATGAATTTACCCATCAGAAAACTTCAGTTGTCAGGACCTGTGTCTGATATTTAGCTGGGGAAATTTCCCCTGTCACTGGGGTGGTGGATGTTGTCTCAGAGCTGAACACTGGGCTGGTGGGGTCATCGGAGGATGATGAGGATGAATCAAGGCTGTTCTCCCACTTTCTCCAGGGCTGTGCCTGGGACCATATGTGTATGTGTGGCTGAGAGGAGGCATGGGTCCCAAGACATGGGTCATCAGAGACTGAAGCTCTCCAGGGCAGCCTGAGAGATCTGGCAGGGCTCTGGGGGCGCCTCAGTTTTGTGAATCACCGCCATGTGGTGCCTTTGGAGTCAGCCAGCTCTGCCTCCTAACCCCATCCCCTCACTCACCAGATGTGTACCTGGGTCTCAATTTCCCCCATCTGTCATTGAGGACAGTCATACCGACCTCAGGGAGGGATCAGGTGAGATAAATGTGATGATGACCAAAATGCAAGACAATTACTGATCATGAGCAGATGAAGTCTAGAAAGGGGGAAATTGGTCCACAGAACACAGTGGGTCAATGAGGGACTTAGAACGAAAACTCGAGTCTTGGGTTCCCAGGCCAGACCTCCTTTCACTGCACCAGGGATTTCAAAGTGGGATCCACAGATGTACTGTCAGGGGCCCTTGAGTGATATGAGAGTCTTTTTTTATTCTGATATTTTCATTTTAAAAATTGAAAAATATCAGTGAGACCCTATTGGGGTTGTGTGTGGATGATCATATTATCACCAACTAATGCTTCAGGAATGCAGAGTTCACATTTGCATTTGGGTTTACTATCATGTTTTTGCAAAATGAAGGCCAAATGACTTCATGGACTGCTGTACAAACAAAGGTTTAGCAATTGTTCAAACAGAGATAAGTGGAGGGAGGATTGAGTCATCAAACAGAACAGGGGACACAGACATGCCACAAATAAGCTGCTCTGCATTGAAGCTGGTAGAATTGTAGTCACTGTTTTGCAAGCAGGTGCCTGAGTGAATGCCACCTTGGTTTGCAACAACTTGCAAGACAACACTAGCAGCTGGAAATGGTAAATGGTATATAGTCTTACTAAATGGTACATATTTCTATATATTTTAAATTATTATATTTTGAAGTGCTCTATTAAGTTGATCGCTTCATCAAAATTCTAGGTCTGTGTTTAGAAGTGTGTTCATTGTAATACATGAAAAATATAATAATATTGATAATAACTCTAATGATGGTCTAGCATGTCCAAACATCAAAATGATCTAGTTGATAACAAGCGGAACTTAAATGGGAATGTATCCTTCTATTATTAAACCCAACGTTGGTTGTTTTACTTTCAGCAAAACATCATCTGTCACATTAAATTAATGCCATTAATTTGAATTTTAATGGTTTTGTAGCTTTATTTGCATTTAATTTGTAATTGTGTTTTGGTTTTACAGCTGTGTAAGAGCTAAAAGCATAAGAGATTTATACTTACTTTTATGTTTGTATATATTTAAGTAACAATATGATCAAAATAATTCTTATCAACACTGGGGGTCTGCAATGATAGCTTTCCCTTTAGAAGGCATGTTTTAGTCAACTTTAGGAATCACTGAGACTGCGCCACAGCACACTGCTCAATGCACAAGAGGGATTGCATTTGAACAGTACTAGGTGGGATTGGATCCAGCCCAGTATGTTGTGGGAAGGGCATGTGGGGAAAAAATTCCCCTGGGAATTTAGGTCCAGGCTTTTCAAAGTGCTGGGTTACTTAGTCACCATCTCAGATGACTCAGGGACCCCAATCAGCTACCAATATCTTTTGGCTCTCTTTCTGCTGTTCCTTTACCAAACAATTTCGTGTAATTCGGTGATAAGCCACTGAGAGTTCAGACAGAGATTCTTAACCTGAATCCTATAACAAACTTCGCTGGAGGAGAAACCCACAGCCTTCACCAGAGTGTCACCCGCATGCTTCCAGCATCCTCAGAGGATGGGGCCAGCCCCAAAATGCTGTGGGGGCAAGGGCTGGTGTGTCCCTGGACCTGACTCTGCAGCAGGCACTTTTTTCCTTGCCTTCCACTCCCACGTAAAAGCCGGCAGAGGAAAGAGACTGGAAAAGGCTGGGTCACTTCCCTGAGATGCACAGCTGGGTAAGTAACTGAGCAGGAACTTGAACTTGGGTCCACAGGACTCCAGAGCCTGGGCTCTCTCTGGCCTAGTAGCTGTACGTGAAGGGAGAGGAAAACAGAGCCCATGCCCCTTGTGCTCAGGGAGTTTCCAATCTCTTACATCTAGGACTTGTTCTCCTAAGGGACTGGATAGGAGTGGGACTCCTTCCACTGAAACCCCAAAGCCCAGGACAATGGGTGTCAAATGCCCCTACCATCCAAGGGGTATAGCTACCAGGTTCCTTCCTCCTGGATTTGTTAAGAGGCTTCTACACTGCCTGCTCCTCACCTCCTCAGTCCACATCCACCCTGCTTAAGCAGAAGAAAGAGAATTGATGTGAATGTGGAGGAAACTTTACGTAAAATACTGTGACTCGGCTGCTCCGTGCACTCCTGTAAGCTACTAGCAGGGGCTCCAGAGAACCTCTTGCAGAGATTGGGGTGCCTGTACAGAGAGAAGACTCATGCTTCCTTCCCCAGTTGGAGGCCCATTGCACTGCAGAAACTCCAAGCCCACCATGAGGCACAGAAATTTCCAGAAGAGTTTATCACATGTCCCCTGGGTTGTGGGGGAAGGGGGTGGGGACTTAGAGTAGGAACTGAACCTGTCCCACCTTAGAACTCAGGACAGGAGGCTGGCCGGAGTGGGGTGAGGCCAAGGGCAGCTGCAGCAGCCTGCAGGCCCGCCTTTGCCCTGGAAAGAGAATGTGAGCTTCTCCAGGGCTGAAAAGAGGCCATAGAAGGCGAGCAGTTTCTGGCACTGTGATGGGGACCCACCCCGGGGGTCACAGAGGAGGGTCCACAGAACACCCAGCACTGGGGTACCTGCCTTGACAGAGACTTTGAAAGCCTCTCCTTGAACTGAGGTGGCAGCAGTGGCCATCCAAAAAGAGAGGGTCTGCTTTTCTCCAGCTCCTCACTTTGCCTGGCCCCGGGGAAAGCAGGACGAAGGTGGATGCATTCATTTCCTAGAGCTGCCGAACAAACCCTACAGACTCAGAGGCTTAAGACAATTGAATTTGTTGGCTCACAGTTCTAGAGACCAGAAGTCCTAAGTCAGGGTGTGGGCAGGGCCGCGCTTCCCCTAACGGGCCCAGGGGATGATCTTTCTGGCCCATTCAATCTCCCGGCTCAGAGATGCGTGCTCCAGTCCCACAGCTGGCTGCTCCCCACTCATCTCCAAGTTGTCTCCCTCTCTGCTTGTCGGTCTCCCTGTCCAAATTCCCCACCATCCACCCCCCCATTTTTTTGTTGTTTTTTTGTTTTTTGTTTTTGAGATGAAGTCTCACTCTGTAGCCCAGGCTGGAGTGCAGTGGCATGATCTTCACTCACTGCAACCTGCTCCTCCCAGGTTCAAGCGATTCTCCTGCCTCAGCCTCCTGAGTAGCTGGGGTTATAGGCACGTTCCACCACACCTGGCTAATTTTTGTACTGTTAGTAGAGATGGGGTTTCACCATGTTGGCCAGGCTGGTCTTGAACTCCTGACCTCGTGATCCACCTGTCTCAGCCTCCCAAAGTGCTGGGATTATAGGTGTGAGCCACCTCGCCCTGCCCAAATTTTCCCTTTTTATAAGGAAACATCATATTGGATTAGAGCCTCATTTTAATTGGATCACTTCTGTAAAGACTATTTCCAAATAAGGTCATACTCTGAGTCCCTGGGGGTTAGGACTTTAGCATCTGTTTTTGGGGAGGACATAAAGGAAGAGTAAGAAAGAACTGACCACAACCCATCCCTGGGCCACCGCAGGCCTCTGCCCACCAAGCTGCCGGGAGAGAGAAACTTTGAACTGGATGTCCGTGGAGGCTGTGCGTGGGCCGGATAGGACCTGTTTAATATCTGAGAGGAAAATACTTTCTATCCCTGCATGTGACAGGGAGGCTCTGGTACATGCCTGCAATGCCATCAGGAGGGTGGGGAAGATCTAGCCAGGCATGTTTGAAAGCATCCAAGGGAGAGAAATAAAGCCATTTCCTGTTCGTGCCCCGTCGAGTTCAGCCCATTCAATATATGGTTATGTATACAAGAGGCAGCTAGGGACTGAGGCAGCGTAGCATAACATCAAGTGAACTAAATCAACTCTGGGGGGAGAGAAAGTACCAAGACAGTCAGGGAGAGAAGACTCAGCGAGGGCCCCTGCAAGAGAGGCGTCTGGGTGGGCCTCCAAGGATGGGTAGATTCTGCCGAGTGGGCAGAGGGAGAAGGTGAGAGTGGACAGGTGGTGTGTGAGCAGAGCTGCAGAAGCCTGCCCCAGTGCCCAGCTGGAGACAGCCTGGATTCTATCCCGCGAAGGTCTACCACCCTCTTAAAGAACTTTTATGTCCCCCATCCTGGGCGGCGGATGCAGATTTTATGTGTGTCTGCAGGAGGCTAAAACTGTCTTCAAACACGAAATTATAATGATCAGATGTCTGTCTGAGGGATGGGAGCATTTCCTCTAGCTGAAAGAACACAGGCAGACAGTGCCAGAAGTGGAGTATAAATAACCCACTACCACTCCGCTCCTTCCCATTGCCGAGGCTCCTGGCCCCAAGTCTCTTTCTC
Organism: Homo sapiens; assembly: GCF_000001405.40. NCBI lineage: Eukaryota > Metazoa > Chordata > Mammalia > Primates > Hominidae > Homo > Homo sapiens. The sequence continues at coordinate 78,455,355 of NC_000010.11, read as the reverse complement.
CCACTTGGCAAGATCCCAGGTTGGTTTTAATGAACAGTTTTGCTTTCCTGGCTACACGCATCTAGGTTTTCCAGGATCTGGAAGATATACCATTCCTTTTCTTCTCTTCTGGCTTTTGAACAAAGCAGAGGCTCTCTGGGCTCTTACGATGGTGAAGAGAATAGAAAGGTGCCACTCTCCTGTCAGAAAGGAGAGGTCAGAAGGAAACTGCCCACTACAAAGAAGAGGCCCAGAGCCTGATGTTTTGCAAAGAGGTTCTTTCTCTGCCAGGCTTCCATCCTCATTTCTGAAGTCAGTGGGCCACGGGAAGTCAGTGATGAGGTGTCTGTAAATAGGGGACCCTTTGCAGAGACCATGCATTCTGCTGTGATAACACCCTAACCTATAAGAACAAATCTAGCCTCGTTTTCCAACCTGATGCACCTGTTCTCCCTCTTAAGTACACAGCCAAATTGCACACCATGTGCTGTTCACACCCACTACCCTCAAATGCCTCCAATGCCGGCACTGGCTTTTCTGCAAGATCCTTCTCCCCCCAGGTCCCTACCTCCAAAGCCTCATCCTTTCTTAAAGCCCAGGACACACACGCCCTTGCCATAAGCTGCCTCCCTGGACCCCCACAGACCCAGCATTATTTGTCTGTTCATCCTTCCCAGGGATTATTTTCTAATGAGCATCAGAGCCTTGCTTCCCAGAAGGGTGTTGAGGAAGCCAAGTGATGCTCGCCATACTTCAGAGAAAGGGCCAGTTACGACCAAATTAAGTTAGAGGATCCTGGATTCTACAGCCTTCTGGGAGAGTAAACAAGATACAGCATATTTACAGCTAAAGATTCCTACAATAATGAAACATGCTCGACCTCCTTTGACTCAGCATTTCCCAGGCTCTCTGACCACAGAATCCTTTGTTCCCATAACATCTATTAATCGTCCCCAGGCGTGGTGGGTGGTGTCTCAGGGACCCACTTTTGAAAAGCTCCATGAGGCTCTGGTGTGCAGCACATCCACCCTCCCCTGGCCGGTCCTTGGGGTGCAGGTAGGGGTGGATCCAGGTCTTACATCTGGTCTGATTGGCCTTTTCCTTGGCACCATGACCTGTATGTTGCTGATGACAGCAGTGACTGGGGTCACTCTCACTCACTCATGCAGAACAGACTTGGGGAGATGGCAGATTGTGTGCTGACATACAAAGAAGACACGAGCTCACCCTCTGTGATTTAAACACACTCCCCATTAACCCACTGCGTGTCTCTTCCCTTCTCCAAAATGGGAGGGATGCAGTGAACTTCTCCAGGGGGAAGACAGACTTTAGTAGCCACACAAAGCCTCCCAGACAATGAGGTATATTGGGAATCTTGTGGGCTTTGGGGGCAGACAGAGGAGGTCCTACTTTCTTATTTCAGTGGGTGATATGGACAAACTACTTCTCCCCTAAGCCTGGCACAAGAGGAAGCCAAAACACTGTGGTTCCGAATCCTGTCTCATGGCAGAATTCCTTTTGGTGACCCACAGCGCATACATTTGGGTCTTCCATATTCCCCCTAGAGTCTTGCTTAAATTAGTAACAGATTTGGCAGGAGCAAGGCTGATTGGAGGGCTCCATGGCAGGGGTCTTGGTGGCTTTCTAGGGAGCTCCTTCTGTTTGTGGAGCCTGCTGGAATGGATAGATCAGAGCTGTGGTGGGAGGATGTCTGAGCCTTCACTAGGAGGGCTGGCCTGGCAGGCTGCCCTGCTGGGGGTGTCCCACAACCCTGGGATGGAGACCTGGAGGACACCTTGGCTCTGTTCCTTGATCTCTGGGCCTGGCATGGCTCTTCCCCTGAAGCCTCTGCCTCTGTCTTTGTACACACAGAATTTTAGCTAGGTCCTCCCTTTCTCACCAAGGCCCATATTCCTATAGGTAGGTCCTCCCTTTCTCACCAAGGCCCATATTCCTAAAGAGCCCGGAGGTCTGTCTAACTACCTGGGGGAAGGGATGGAGCTGCAGGAAGCAGAGAAACTAGACATGTCTTTCCAGAAAGCCATCCCTACTGGGACTGCTGGTCTCTGATAAAGGATGTGGAGGATACACAGTGAGTAACAGCAAGTGTCCCAGCTCCCATGTCTGGGTTTCCCTGAGGATGATCAGTGCAAGGGAATTGGAAGAAGGGATATAAATGGAGTTGTCAGTGTGTCCCCGAGAGACGAGCCCTGCACACCCTCTCCAGGAAGGCCCCATGACTCCCAAATAGATTGGTGAAATCAATAAGGGAAAGGCCCATACCCCTACAGCCCGGAAAGAGCTAGAGAGGAGACAAAGTTCTGGAAAAGGAGATGCAGGATATTTCTAGGCAGAAGGGGCAGCTCAGGCGGCTTCGCAGCATTTCATGCCCCAGTGGGTAGCTAAGGCAGCAGAAGGACTGTGTGGGTGGCCAAGCCTGGTGTGGAGGGGCAGAGAATGCTCCTAGGTATCAGGGGACTTACAGAAGTGTGAGGAGTGCCCTGCATCACCTACAGGATCACACCTGAGGGCCAGGTGCCTGAAGGACATGCCTGTGGAAACCAGGACACACAAGGACCCAGCACCCCACCCACCCCTACACTTGTATAGCTCCCAGAACTCACATATCTGAGCAAGGAGAGGTCATTCATGTACAGGGTCCTGGGTCTAGCACCTTGGTGGAATGGGGACCAGAAACAGAAATTGAATTGTATAGGAAAAGTGAGAAAATTCCATTTTTCTTGCACACCTGAGCTTTCGATCAACATTCTCAGCCACTGAACCTAGTGCAGTTTCAGGACATGTTAACATGACTGTCTAAAATACTCTCATCCAGAACAAATCTGCTGGAGACCCTCTGGGACCATGGAGTATTCTCTCCATCATCTTCTACCTCATTTTGCACTGGAAACTAACTTCACCCTCTGAGTCCCTGAGGCTTGGGGCTTTGGGGCTTTGTCCTTGATATTAAGAATTAAGTGAGATGCCATATAACATAAAGCTCTTAGTAACGTGCTGGTATAGATTAAGCAAGCCCTCAATATGTGGGGCTCTTGTTTTTATTATACCCCTTTCTGTCTCTCCCTTCTCCTTGGAATGCCTCTGGCTCCTACCCTTCCCCCTACCCTCCCAAAACGGGCCACCACTAGTCATTTCAGTTTGTCCTTGGCAGGTGGTAACTAACACTTCACATTTCTCCTGGCCATCATTTTCCACTGAGAACAAGTCAGGGTCATTATACTCCCCATCCACCATGCTGGGCATCAGGGAAGAAGAGGAAACAGTAAACAGATGGGGGGAGTGAGTCCCCCAGGCCCACTCAGAGATGGAGCTGGGTCTGCCTCTGGTCACACATTGGAGGACACCAGAGCTAGAAGGGCTTTCAGACAAAAGGGTACTCGTTTTGCGGATGGGGAAAGACAGCCCAGAAGGGATGGGGAGTGCCCCAGGCCTCACTCTGAGTGAAAAGCAGAGCCCAGGCTAGAAGCCAGGCCTGGCCCGCCTAGCCCATTGCTTCCTCCTGAGGCTGGACTCGGTGCACAGGAGGCTCACGGAGGAGGAGTGGCAGGATTACTGACTCCTTATGCCTAATGAGGGGATCGCTCACTTCCTTGGATCGAGTCCCAAAGGGGTGGTCCTGGGAAGTCAGGAGGCGGCAAAGCAGCCAGATAATCCCTCTGCGTGCTCCCTGGAGAACAGCACCGAGCTAATGGACTCAACTCTGCCTCCTTCCCTGGGCCCTGCAGAGCAGCAGCCAAATCCCTGCAGCTGCCTGACAGCTGGTAGAGCCCTGGAGACCTGATGAAGCCTGATCAGGTGGGGAGGCAGGAGGGATATGGTCCCTGTCTCACCTGCAGATCCCGACATGGGATATCCTGACCAAGAGGGATGGCTCACACTTTAATTAGTGCCACTTGTGGGCTTGCCCTGTGCCAGGCACAGGGGGCTACAGGGAAGAAGGAGAGAGGGCCCTGTCCTCAGAAGCCCACAGTCTGCTCTGACCCCCATCCAGGAGCCCCTGGTTTTGTGGATGGCTGCACCTCAGCCATTCCCCTTCCTGCTCCTTCTCTTCACCTTCCCATCCTATCCATGCACAAGTCCTAACCATCTGACTGCCTCAGTGTCCTTGCTGCCATCTGCACACTCAAGGCCATAGTATCTATTGCCTGCAGGTAAGAGCCTGTCTGCCCCTGGCCCTGCTTATTCTCTCCTGCACACACCTTTCTTTGCCAGGTGGCCAGAAATCTGACACCCAGGTGATATCTCTCCTGCATCATCACAGTTACTCTAATGAGCCCTAATCACCCGCCTTTGTGGTGGTGGTAGAGCCCACATGGGCTTGTTCCAGGCGTGAGGGCAGCACATCCTCCCCCTAACCCTCTGCTTCACTCCCTATCTCCACTGGGTGTTGCTGACTTGGTTTCAGATCAAGGCCGGGGATCTGGCTGCTGCCTCCTTCCGCTGATAGTTTTTGCGACAGTGACAGATCCTGCTCAGGCCAACTGTGAGCTTGATAATGCAACAGAAATTTGAATGCAGAAGCTCGTCACTACAGGGCAGCAAGAAATTGCTGCACAGGTGATAGGTAGAACCTTGAATGCTGATGCAGTCTAAGGCATAAGAGGCAGTGATGCGCAATGGAATACTACACAACAATGAGGAGAAAGAGCACAGCTACACTCAACAGTGTGGCGACGTCTCACAACTTAATACTGAGAGAAGCCAGATGCAAAGGCATCCCGAGGTCTGTGGAATGCTGGACATGTTCTGTTTCTTGATTACAGTACTGGTCACACAACTGTATTCCCTTTGGGAAATTCCATCAAACTGTACACTTACTATTCATGACCTCTTCTGTATGTATATTACACTTCAACTGAAAGTTTACAGAAAACAGCGTTGAGTCTGCAGCACCCAGCTCTTTCTGGCCTGGCGGATCTCCCACTTTGTGCAGGAGTGGTTGAGTCCTGAACTTCAGATACACTTTGAAAGTCAAGATGTACAGAGACCCATATTCACTGGCTTGCAGCCCTGCTTGTTTGCTGTTCAATAGCAAATTGAATTGGGAGCAACCACAAACCAAGTTATTGTCACTAGTCCTTTAATCTAGACTAGACCTGATCATCTGGTTCCACTCACCAACAGGTCAGCCTTGAGACCTCAAGGGCAGGACCACTTCCCATCTATGAGGACAAAGGGAGTGCAACTCAGCTCCTCTGTAACCGTCAAACCAAGGAACTGCATTCATCACCCAGTATCTTGTGCTCAGTCTTGTATAAAACAGGATCTATCAGAACCCCTTCCACTTTAATAAATGAGGAAACTGAGGCTAAAGAGGGAAGGAGCTTGCCCATGGTCCTTTTGTAACTGTCATCCCAGCGGCCTCCACTGTGACCAGTACAATAGCTCTTCAATAATTGCGAGTGGGTTTATTTAGAGGATTCCTTCTTTTAAAAGAAGACTTCTTAACAGCCAAAGCTTAAAGCGAAAGAGGGTTCTCATCAGGTGGATTTGGGCACACTGGAAAAGCGAGGTGGGCTTTAAGTTGGGGGGAGGTTCTCTGCTGCTTCCAAGAGGATCACAATGTGCTGGCAGCCCTCAAGCCCTCTCTGCAAGAGGCAGGCACAGACGTTAGTAGTCCCAGAATATGTTCACAAAGCTGTTCAATACAGGGCCGTGCTGTCAGAGGGAAGGAAAGGCTGTCCCTTCTTGGCCCTGTGTTGCAGCCCCAGTGGCCTCTAGAGAGACACCTTTGCAGTAACCATTCAGGGACTGCTGGTTGGTGCAATTATTGGATTGTAGCTGCATCTGGCTGGAGGTGGCAGTGGGGAGAAGGGGAGTGCTTTGCTTGTTACCCTTCCAAAGCAAAGGAGGCTCAATGGCCTCTCTCCTTAGCTCATCCTTTCTCATCTCTCACTATTCATCCATCCACATCCTATGCATTCTGCTTCATCCATCAGGCCACACTCATCCTTCATTACTTCTTTATTCATTCATTTATTCACTTGCTTACTTACCCCTTAATTTACTCCTTCACCCCTTGATTCTCTCTTCCTTCATTATCTTCTCCATTCTTTCAGTCATTCCATTGATCCATCTCTTTTTCCCGTCATTCATTCATTTTCCTTTTCATATACTGTGGTAGGCATTAGCACTGTTCAAGTATTTTCAGCTCTCCTCCTACTATGCGGTGGCTGATTTTACTTCCTGGACCCCTTCCTGGACTCTCACTTCCTGGATCCTGGGGTCACATGATCAGATCTGGCCAATGGTCACCAGTAAAGTTGACACACATCTCTTCTGGACTAGAGCCTTTAATTAACAGTGTGAGATCCTCCAGGTTATCTTTTTCCTCTGTCATAGTGACCAGCAAAATTCTAGACAGTGGGTTCTCTAAAAAAAGCCTGGATTCCCGAATGAGGAGTGCCTGCGGCCGAGTTCCCAGCCAACCACAGCAGCCATAGAGGCGTCCCTCTCAGAGGCTCCTTCCAAAGAGCCTCCCTCTAGGCAGAGCTGACCCACGGCCACCAGCTATTCCCTGTGGATCTCCCTCTGTCCTCCTCCCAGGCCACACTGGCTTCCCTTGGCTGTTCCATGCAAATGGCTGGTATCCATGACTTGAATATTAGAACTCTCAGTCCTGCTTGATGTGGGATTCTGCTAATGAGCAACTTTGGTTTAGGGACTTGCCATCAGCCTGGCCCAGGACTCCGCAGAACCATGCTGCAATCCCAGGCTCTTCCTTCCCCGTCTTTCCTTCTCTCTCCTTTCCCAGGTGTCAGACCTGCACTGTGGCTAAAGCTTCCCCCTGCCTCTCCTGCTCCCCCACCCTTTATCCTTCACAGGCATCTCCCCTAATAAAGCCATAGCTACTCCCATGTGGGAGCCTGTTTCTCAGACGACCTAACCTGGCACCCAAGTCCCAAAGGACAGTCAGCACAAGAACAAACTAACCCTTTGCCATTTGGTTTTGCCACAGTATAACCTAGCCTCACTCCCCCATTCATTTTTTCATCCAGCTACTCAACCTATACTCACCAGCAGCTGTTTGTCCCCACCTGTCACCTATTCATGACTCCAGTCCCGCACCTGCACACACCCGTCACCTGCACAGCTCTGGCCCTTTGTGCAGAGGCTCCCTTGGCAGCCCAGGTTCCTGACCCATGTGAGCCCCTATGTCTGCTCCACCCCGAACCTTTTCTGATGTCTATGGGACTATGTAGAAGGTGGAGTGCATGCCTGACCCAGCTGATTGGAGTGCAGGACATCAATCCTCCCAGAAAAAAACCACCCAAGTGCAAACTTAAGCAATGCCAACCCAGTCCTGGAAAGAAAGGGGCCCTGCCTCATGCTGGAGATGGAACAAACAGATGTTGGCACAGACAGCCGAGCAGAGTTTCAGAAATAAGACACAGCAGGAATCAATACCATTAAATCAGTCCCTCATTCCCCTCTTCCTCCCTCTAAGGGGTGGGCTCATTCACAGTTCCACCACACACCTCTGGCTTCATTTCCCTCCTCATCAGCCCATGAGGTGAGCCTTTTATAAGATGGAGTATTTGGGCATCCAGCCATCTTCCCAAGACTCATGGGACCTCACTCCCCACTCTTTCTGCCTCCCTTTCCTGGGGATGCTAATTGAGGTTGGAAAGAGGATCAAAGAATCAGATGATTGACTCCCCTTACCCCAATCCGCCCTCCACAGGGCCTCCAGAGTGTCCCCCTAAAAGATCCATTCATATCCCATCAAGAACCCTTAATAGCTCTCATCACCTTAAGAAGAGAGCTTGAACTGCTCAGCATATTTTATGGCCTTCCTCAGCCTAACTCCAGCAAGCTCACCTCCTGCCACATCCCCTTGCCTCCCCTGACACACACACACACACACACACACACACACACACACTCCTGTCTATGCATATCCAATTTCCCTGGCTGCTTTCTTGTACTGAGGGAGCCATGAACTTGATTGACCTTCACTCTTTTGACTTGTTTGTTTCTTCCATCTGCCTGAAGCACCTTCCTTGCTGCTTCTCCACCTGACAAAGCCCCCCTTGTTTCCAAGAACACCGTTCAAAGGCTGACTTGCTTGTGACCTTTACTCAGCTATCCTAAAACAAGTGCATGGGTCTCCAGCTTCTGTGAGGTTTGGTTAATGCTGGAACAATCCGTCATTTACCTACCTGGCTCCCTCATGGACAAGGGTGTTGAGAAAGAGCTTTCGACTTGACGTCAGCTGAATTTGGCATTGAGTCACAGTCCTGTCACCTTGAGAAAGTTACTCAGCCTCTTTGAGTCTCTGTTTCTGCATATATAAAGTAAAAATACTACTACTAACTGACTCATAGAATGATCGTGAGGACTCAGAAAAAATAAGCACTATGATCCTGTTTTGTTCCTATATTTAAGTATGAGTGTCCCTAGTCATAGGAAATGGTCTGGAAGAAAATCCAAGCACTAAACATGGTTGTCTCTGAGTGGGTGAGATTTATGGGGATCATTTTTCTGTCTTTGTTTTCCTTGGCCATGTTTTCTGTATATATATTTTAAATAATAAGCATGAGTAGCTTTCATCATGAGAAAAAAATAAATGTATTTCAGGCAGGAAAAATGAGCAAGTGAACAAGCCTGGCTTGTAGCAGGCTACCTGGCTCCGGGAGGGCTATGGGCTTGTCTTTGTGTCTTTGTGCATCTTCAGCACCTGAGGCTGGCACCTGGTGGCTGGTACCCAGTGGCTTTGATGAACTCATCTGGTCCAACTCCCTCATTTAGGAGATGGGGAGCCTAAGAACAGAGAGGCTAGCCCAAAGCCACATATGAAATGGGTCTCTTCGGAGGGGCCAAACCCAGACCTCCAGCCTCCCAGGCCACACTCTGTCCCTCTGGTGGGAGACCAGGTGGAGAGAGGAGATTGCCTGGAGCCCATCGGCTCCTTTCCTTCTGCATCCTCTGCTCCCCAGGTTGAGTACCAGGCCTCAGCCCCATGCCCTGGCTCTGCCCATCCTGCTCCAGGTTGGATGGGTACTCGCTCTAGAATGGTGATGACCATTGACCCTGAATTTTATGGCAAATATCGTAAGATCCATCAAGGTATATGGGCAAATCCATGGGGGAAAAATTGCTGAGACATGTTCAGGCTAGTGTCTTAGGATTGGAGACTCCAGAGAAGGTAATGCCACCACATCACAGGGCAGGACAAGAGGGAATCCAACTCCCAGACTCAGCCCTGCTTTCTCATGCCACTGGAACTCTTCCTCTTCACCCTCCTCCTCCTCCCTTCTCCTTCTCCTCCTTCTCGTCTTCATGTTTGGATTACCCTCAGTAGGACTCATTTAAAATAAAAGCCAATTTCACAAAAATTACAGGACATTCCACACTTGAAAGTAACATTGAATTTTCAAGGGCAGCAGAACAGGCTCTCCAGTTTCATTGAATCAGGAACAGTGAGGAGCTCTCACTCCCCCTTTCTTGACAAAATCCTAATAAAACATCAAGAATTCCTGGCATTCAGGAGGCTAGGATCTGCTTGGATCCTCTACGTTTTCAACCCTAAGGAAATGGATCCGTTTTAATACCAAGAACCATCCTCCTGCCACACCATTGACCCCATATAATTGACAGTACTGGGATGGGGTGGATAGTGCTGGAGCAGGTGGGGAAGGGTTGCCCTGGCACCTGGTCTTTGGGGGACCATGAAGCCACACACTTGGGCATCACATATAACCATTCCCCAGTGACCCCTTGAATTACATCTCGAATGTAGCTAAACTGAGTTCTAATATCCAGAGGCAGGGGGATGACCAGGGTCCACCCACAGCACTAGTGGCGCCTTGGATTCCTTCTGGTATCCTCAACTTGTCCAGGTCAGCACTGGACAGCATTTGACCCACAGCCCAAAAGAAAGAACCAGGGAGCCTGGGCAAGCTTCCCTTCTGATGCTCTCTGAAGCAGAAAGCATTTTAGATAGGGTCTTTCTCTTTCTCTGGGAAAAAAAGAGATGAGAAGGGAAAGGCAGTTGCAAAGAAAGAGCATGAATTTATGCAAGAAGATTTGTTATGGGCTGAACTGTGTCCCCGTAAATTCATATGTTAAAGCCCTAATGCTCAGTACTATATTTGGACATAGAGACTTTAAAGAATTCATGAAGTCAAGATGATGCCATTAGGGTGAGCCCTAATTCAGTATGATTGGCATCAGTATAAAAAGTGGAGACCAGGGGCTGCGCATGGTGTCTCACACCTGTAATCCCACCACTTTGGGAGGCCGAGGCAGGTGGATCACCTGAGGTCAAGAGTTTGAGACCAGCCTGGCCAACATGGTGAAACCCCATCTCTACAAAAATATAAAATTAGCTGGGTGTGGTGGTGCACGTCTATAATCCCAGCTACTCAGGAGAATGAGGCAGGAGAATCACTTGAACCCAGGAGATTGAGGATGCAGTGAGCCAAGATCGCACCATCGCACTCCAGCCTGGGCAAAAAGAGTGAAACTCCATCTAAAAAGAGAGAAGATGATGGAAAGATGCAGGGGGAACACAGCCACCTGGGAGCCAAGGAGAGAGGCCTTGGAAAAAGTCAGCCCTGCCAACTCCTTGATCTTGGACTTCCAGCCTCCAGAACTGCAAGAAAATAAATTTCTGTCATTTAAGCCACCCAGTCTGTGGTATTATTACAGCAGCCCAAGCTAACACAAGGTCTGAAATTCACTGTCATTTACTTAGGGACACATTATAACTCCATCAGCACTTCGGCGGGCATTTTTCCCTTAATGGACCCCTTCCCCCATAAATATGTAATTCTTATTTTAAAACTGCATTGTTGTAAAGACGAATACATAAATATGATATATTGAAAGATTTTCTTCAACCTGAAAGCTTTTTTTTCTTCTGATTTTAAAAGAAATAAAAACATTTTTTAGAGTACCTGCAAGTATTCTGGGCAGTGGGCACCGTGCCCACTGTGCCTGATGGTGCAGTTATCCCTGCACATGCCTTGCCGGGCTCCCATTGCCAAATGCACACCACTGAGCCCGGCAGTTCTGAGGGTCCAGAGCTGAGCTGAGCTCTCGTGCAAAGGTGCCTGGCCTGGTCGGGGTGTCAGCATCAGCCTCTAAATCTTGGCTGAGAAAATAAAATGCATTCCGCCTCCAAGGCTGTACTTCTCTGCCTGCCTCCTGCTTCCTCACCAGTGACCCAGAGTTTGAGAAGCATGCCTTGTGGGTCTGCCTGACTGCTCTCTGATGGTTTCAAAGGGCTTTTTCTCCTGGGTCATGGCAGGCAAAGTCAACAGGGAGAACAAACTCCTGCCTTCGCAGGCGGTCTCCTCCGTTCCTCTGCCCTGACCCCATCTGGCTCTCCCACAAATCTCCAGGGATTCCACAGCATAGAGAGGAGGCCCCAGTCCTTCCTGCAAAAACGCAATACTGGTCAATATCATTACTTTGGAAATATTTTTTCCTGCCACAAAAACTGTTCTTCCAATGAAATACTCTGTGGGAACCCAGTGGATAAAAAGGATGAGCAGAAAGCTGTCCTGGTTGAATCAAGGGCAGCAGCTAGGACCCTCCTCACCCCGACACATAACCTACAGTTCCTCTTCAGAAACCAATGGTCGCCAGGGGACACTTTTGGAAAATCACAGGGCGGATACTCTCTGGGCTCCAAAGTAGAGAAGGATGGCCTAAATCATGCAGAAAGTGGTCAACAGAGCTCTGTCCTCCTCCTGGGTCAGGGAGGCCAAGAATGGGGGATGAGAGGAGGCATGACCAGGAGCCAAGGAAAGATACACAGAGTACTGCCTTGTTGGGTGGCAGGACTGACAACAGCAACAGTAGGGCCCCGTCCTAGGAGCTACAGAGGGACTGAGCCCAAAAGTACACAGTGCTCTTGAACACAGCAATCCCACACACACGGTGGCACTGGACACACAGTCACAGGCACAGTGTCATAGACGCAGTGGTCAGGGACACAGAGACCACAAACACAGAGGCCACAGACACAGCAGTCATGGGCACAGCGGTCACAGACACGGCGGTCACAGACACAGTGGTCAAGGACACAGCAGTCACGGGCATAGTGGTCACAGAGTGGTCATGGACACAGCAATCAGACACACAGTGGTCATGGACACAGTAGTCACAGACATAGCAGTCATGGACACAGTGGTCATGGGCACAGCAGTCACCAACACAGCAGTCAGGGACATAGTGGTCAGGGACACGGTGGTCATAGACACAGTGATCACACACACAGCAGTCAGGGACACAGTGGTCACAGGCACGGCCATCATGCACACACAGCAGTCATGCACTTTGGTCGTGTAAAGCCTACAGGGGGGCTCCTGCTGAATCCATTAGCAGCCAGGCCCCACTCCTCCATGGGGGCTTTCTGGCAGCTAATCCCTGCGTGGCTGGAACATGACATCATTGCTTCCTCTGCCTGTGGGCTGCCCAGGTACATCTGGCTTTGGTTAGTCTTCCCCATTGAATAGAAACATATGTGGGCCCTGGCACTCTGCTGAGGTGGGCGTCTGTGTGTACGGGCTTCTGGGGTGGGTAGGGGATGAGGGGCCGTGAGGAGGGATCTAAGGCGTCCTTTCAAAACTGTGTTTTTCGGCCAGGTGCAGTTGCTCACACTTGTAATCCCAGCACTTTGGGGAGGCCGAGGAGGGCAGATCACGAGGTCAGGAGTTCAAGACCAGCCTGGCCAAGATGGTGAAACCCAGTCTCTACTAAAAACTCAAAACTTAGCTGGGTGTGGTGGCACGTGCCTGTAGTCCCAGCTACTCAGGAGGCTGAGGCAAGAGAATCACTTGAACCCAGGAAGTGGAGGTTGCAGTGAGCTGAGATCGCACCAGTGTACTCCAGCCTGGGTGACAGAGTGAGACTCTATCTCAAAAAAAAAAAAAAAAAAATGTGGTTTTTGGCACACAAATGTTCTGTGAGGTATAATTAGGTTCTACAGAAAAAAAAGGTTTTCTCAGTTAAGTAAATTTGGCAAACTGTACTGAACCAAAGTAAACAGAGGATTGTGGGATTTCTCAGAGACTTTAATAGGTGACCCTAATGGAGAATAGAAAGTGTGGTGTTCCCAAACATTCTTTGCAGTGTATCAGGAAGGGTCCTTTTTGCTGCTAGTGAGCAGGAAATCCAGCTCTAAATAGGCTACATTTTCCAGGACAGCATTAGCTTACAAAATAGCAAGTCCAGAGATGGGTATTTCCAGGCTTCAGCAGCCAAACAATGCCACCAAAGCCACAGCCCCTCCATCCCCTTCACCATCCAGTGTCTTCTCCTGGGGACAGTGGTCCTCTGGGTCCAAGAGGGCAGCTGCGGGTCCAGGTTCCTACGCAGACTCTGCAACAGCCCCCAGCAGAAGGCATCCTCCCAGACAGCTTTGATAGGGTGAGGAGACCCTTTTCTAGGAATCTCTCAAAAGACTTCTCTCCACATTTCATCAGCCGGAATTGCATCACAGTCTCTTACCTAAACAGATGATTTACGGCTTCAAGTCCACTCTATCCCAAACTAAGGGATGAGGCACCCCAGATTGCCACACCAAATTCAGGGGTGCCAGGGGATATTTTAAGCTTTCAAGGAAAACTCAGTAATGCTGGACATCTGTTGGACACCACTTGAACTACTTTCTTTTTATATATGTATGTTTTTTGAGACAGTCTCGCTCTGTCGCCAGGCTGGAGTGCAGTGGTATGATCTCGGCTCACTGCAATCTCCACCTCCCGGATTCAAGCAATTCCCTTCCCTCAGCCTCCCAAGTAGCTGGGACTACAGGTACGTACCACCATGCCCAGCTTATTTTTTTGTATTTTAGTAGAGACGGGGGTTTCACCATATTGGCCAGGATGGTCTCAACCTCCTGACCTCGTGATCTGCTCACCTTGGCCTTCCAAAGTGCTGGGATTACAGGCATGAGCCACTGCACCCAGCCCACTTGAACTACTTTTTAGCTCAGTTTATTCATGGTTTCAACATTAATCATGCTACAGACATTTGATGATATCGTATCTTTGAGAAGTTTTAGTGATTGCTGAAATAAAACAAGTATGGAATGAAAATCAGTGTGGAATGTGAAATGGGGGTGCTGGTGTCCAATCCAAACACACAGTGTGAGAAGTTGTGCAGTGCCCAACAGGTGCATCCATTCCACTAGTAAGTGATTATAGTAGAATAAACTAGATCTGTTGTACAACATGGTGACGTAGTTCATAACAACGTATTATATACTCGAAAGTTTCTAAGAGTATATTTAAGTGTTCTCACCACAAGAAAATAAGTATATGAATAATGAATGTGTTATTTAACTTGACTCAGCAACTCCACAATGTACACATATATCAAAATATCATGTTATATACCATAAAAACATATATTTTTTTACCAAATTAAGTTCCACTTGCCTACAAAAAAGTTTTTTAACAAGTTTCTAAAATTAAAAAAAGAATATATTAATTAAAAGTATACCTTTTTTCTTTCAGTTCACGTATAGTGTCTTTACAATTAGCTAGTTGCGATTGGCTAAGTTGTTAGGGCCTAAATACTTACTAAGCTGTCTGGGCCTAACCCAGCAGAAGGGTTAGATATTTCTTTTAGCTTAGGGGCACAGTGAGAAAAATTGCTGAGACTAAGGGCCCCATAAACATAGGAAATTGGAGAACTTCTAGCTGAAACTGATCATGGTTCCTCCTTGATCAGTCTTGGGGCAGGAACTGGGACTGGGGCCTGCCTCACCTGAAGCCCATGAAGAGTGTATACCTGAATAAACTCTTATAAAGAAAGGAGGGGAATGCATTAGGAATGCCACTAAACTCAGTGATATGGTTTGGATCTGTGTCCCCATGCATATCTCATGTTGAATTGTAATCCCCACTGCTGAAGGTGGGGCCTAGGGAGAGGTGGATGGATCACGGGGGCAGATTTTCCCCTTGGTACTGTGTTGTGATCGTGAGTTCTCACAAGATCTCGCTGTTTAAAAGTGTGTGGCACCTCCCCCTCTCTTCCTCCTGCTCTAGCCAGGTGAAGTGCCAGCACCCCCTTTGTCTTCTACCGTAATTGGAAGTTTCCTGAGGCCTCCCCGGAAAAAGAAGCCAGTCTGCTCCCTGTACAGCCTGCAGAACCAAGAGCCAATTAAACCTATTTTCTGGCCAGGCACGGTGGCTCACGCCTGTAATCCCAGTACATTGGGAGGCCGAGGCAGGTGGGTCACCTGAGGTCAGGAGTTCGAGCCAGCCTGGCCAACATGGCAAAAACCCGTCTCTGCTAAAAAAAAAAAAAAAAGAAAAAAAAATACAAAAATTAGCTGGGCATGGTTGCACCTGTAATCCCAGCTATTCAGGAGGCTGAGGCAGGACAATCGCTTGAACCTAGGAGGTGAAGGTTGCAGTGAGCCAAAATCACTTCATTGCACTCCAGCCTGGGCGACAGAGCAAGACTCCATCTCAAAAATAAAATAAAATAAGAACCTCTTTCCTTTATAAATTACCCAGTCTTGGGCATTTCTTCATAACAATTCGAGAACGGACTAATAGACTAGGGAACTGGTGATCTGCAGAGCACACCTGGAACTGTGGATCCAAACAAGCAGTCTGCTCTGTAGGTTTCTCTCTTCCTGTTCTGTGTCTCTACCACAACCTCTCCTCAGAATGCCTATGTTATCTGGGAAGGCTCCAGGGGTAGGTGATTTCAGCAATTTACATTCCCTGTCCTTTGGCTTCACCCTGTCTGCTGTCAGCCCACCAGAGGCAGATGGAAACCTTCCAGACACTCTGTGACATCGACGTCCACCTTCCCACCAGGCCTGGGTCAGGCACCTGTGCCCCGAGAGAGCCCACACATCAGCCTGTGCTGCCCAGATTCCTGCCTGGGCCCACAAAGTGTGGGGCATCTGTGAAGGCTGCCCCCAGACTCCTGCATGGCATCCAGCCCGAACGTGATGGAGCATCCAGCACTGGTGTGCCCGGCTCAGCCTCACAGCAGGCCCTGCTACTTCCCCGTGGCATCCCCTCCCCACTCCCACCACACTCAAGATCTTGGCACTTGTGGTTTCTACAACCTGGCAGGTGCTGTCGCCCCCTGCCTCCCTCTCATCCTCAAACAGCTCCCAGCCCAACGCACACCATTCACTTGCCCTCACACTGCACTGTTTATTATTATCTCAATGTGAAATGATCCTGCGTGTTTCTCTTTTGCTTGTCACATGGCTGCCTGCCTCGCTAGAGAGGGAGAAGCGTGTGCACAGAGCCCCTGCCTAGCTCTCTGATGTTGTCCAGTTCCAGGAATAGTGGCTGGAACTTAGGCAATCAATACCCATCAGTAGTTGTTTGATGAATGACTAATGCTCACCAGTGGTCCTAGGAGGTAAGAGTCATGTCCTCATTTCACAGATAGGCAGATGATGCCCACAGAGTCAAGCCCCATGCACCATGCCACAACCTGGAAAGGGACAGAGCTGGGTCCCTTTCCCCTCTCTAGCTGTCCATTTGACTTCAGTGCTGGTCACTTTTGTAGGGAAATGCAGAAGACAGGCCCGGGTGGCAACACATTCTGGATTCCTGCAGACGTGCCCAGGCTTCATGCCCTCAGAGGTGCACAGCTCCCCAAGGGGTTTGCTAGGACATGCAGAGTCCAGCATGGGTGGCAGCAGTCCAGCATGGGTGGCAAGAGCCTAGCTCAGCAGCTTCCCTTTCTGTGACTTCAGGAAGACACCCACATTCTGTGGGCCTCAGTTTCCCTATCTTCACAATAGGGGTGCTAGCTAGACTTAACACATCATTTGTCCTTCTCTCCTGATAACAGACCAAAAGTCCCAGAGAATACAATGCATTCACAGTAGGAGGAAATGAGAGGAACCTGCCACCACTGGCCCCTCTGATCCTGCATTGTCCTTTCTCATCCAGGGACCTTCCCTTATCCTGCCTGGACTCCAGAACCAGCTGCACTTTGTTCCTACCCGGCATGCTGTAACTTTTCTGTGGACAAGGTCATACGTGATCAGCCCCATTTACAGATGAGGTCCCCAAAGCCCAGAGGGTGCTCACCTCTCCTAAAGTCACACTGCCAGCAGGTGGCAGGGCCGGTGTTTGAGCCCAGATGTGCAGAGGGCCCTGACAGCTATGGCCTGTGAGCCGTGGGGCCCCCACCAACCCCCCACACAGCCTCACTCCTGCATTCCCCTCTCTGAGCCTCTCCCCATGCCAAGCTGCCAGCGTATTGGACCGTTTTCTCTGTAGGTGGTGAGTATGAGATGGAGATGTTTCTCAGCGAGTTATTTCTAGAGTTCCTGGCAAAGGCAGACCTCTGAAGCATTGTGTGTGTGTGTGTGTGTGTGTGTGTGTGTTTTTAATGCACTTCCACTGGGGGTGGCAGGCTACAAATGAAAGGGGCCATGGTGCTCAGGAAATGTTCCTCCTGTGAAGCCGGAGGGGCTCGCGGCCCCACCCATAGGTGTCTCTGTCCTTCCCCAGACCACACGTTTCCTGGGAAGGGAAACCTTACTGGAAATTCAGAATATTCTGGTATCTGCTTTTCTGAATGATTTGGACTTCCTCTGGGGGTGGGGGAGCCAGGAGAGCTGTGCATGCTTTTCCTCTCCTTCTCCTGCTCTTAGACACATTGCACTGGGCTGCAGGGCCTTCAGGTGAGCTGATTTCCAGATCCATGTTGGACTCTGAGCAGGTGGACAGAAGCCCAGTGTGTCTGTAGCCCTGGGAAGGTCTGATGGTTTTTCTGTGGTTTCCGTTTTCTCAACACAGACACTTACAATAGACATAGCACTGAATCTCGTCGATTGCTGTCAGCTACAGGTCCTCCCCAGCCTGAAGAGCCAAACTGGTTACCACAGAGGTTCTCGAGGAAGGAACCCAGTCCAGGAGGTCAGAGTCTTGGTTTCCCAAGATGGCCGGACTACTGAGTTGCTGTGTGACCTTACACAAGTGATTCAAACTCTCTGAATCTTCCAGGTAATTTCCTGGTTTGATTAAAGAGGAAATAAATGTGTCTTCCTACTTAAGAATACATCAGCTCCACCATAGTCTGGGAATCAGGAAGCTGGGGTTACAGAAATGAAATGGATTGTGTTTTTGCTCTTGGATTGGCACTCTTGGACATGGCCAGGCTTCAGCACGGGTTTCCTGCCAAGGAAAGAGGCCTGTTGTCATGGAGCTGAGTCCTGGAGGAGAGAGACCAGAGATAGGCAAGGGGAGGGCAGGAGGCAGGCAGAGACCCTCCAACGAAGACCACAGAGGGAGCAGGGATGCAGACTGAGGGCAGGACTGGTCCGTGGGGCCTGAGATCTGTCTTTAATCCCCTGGGTGACTTGTCCCCAAGCAGGAGGCCAGATTGGCCTGGGAGTCTCTGTGGGGCAAAAGCAAGGTAAATGTGCAGAAGCTAAAGGAGACAGATGATCTGTTCCACAGAAGGAAGAACTTTCCGGCATCTGAGCAGTGTGGAGTTGGGGGAAGTGAACTTGGGGTTTTCTGTGGCAGCTGGGGGGCATGCTGATTTACATGAGGTCTTTAGCAAAGTAGCCACAGTGTGCAAAGCCGCCATGGCTGAAGTTTCTATTGTGGACACCGGTGCTATTGTTGGACGCTGCAGAACTGCAGTAATTCACATTTATGTCCCAGGCAGTTCCCTGGAATGAAACACCCCGATCTTTAGAGCCTTTCCTGGGCCATTGGAAGACACTCAGCAAGTAAATTTTATGTTCTCACTCGGGTTCCTAATACAGGGTCTGTCTGGAGGGAGAGAGGCACTGTCCGTGCCTGCAGGAGCTTCCCTGGTGCAACCTAGAGACCATCTTTAGGCTGAATCCATGCTGGGTCAGGGGAGGAAGGCTTCATCCCACTGGGCAAATGAGGTGACAGTCGTCAGTGCCTGTCCCCTGTGCTAGTGAACCCTTTGATGGCTATGCGAGGCAGGAAGGATCAACTCGTTTCCCAGGGAGGCCAGGAGGTATGTGGCTCCTCACTCTGCCTCCCCCAGCTAATCAGGAGTGAAAGCAGCACTTAAGCCCTAGTCTGCCAGACTCCAAAACTCATGGCTTTCCACTAGCCAGGCTGCCTCGTCCTCAGAACTAAGGAGAGAGCAGGGGGTGCCCCGAGAAGGACTGGGGAATGTCCGCAGGGGAAGCTGGGACCCCTGGGAGATTTCACTGCAGCACCAGTTGCTGGAGAGGATGGAATCACTGTGTGCTCTGAGACCCCCACTCATGCCCCTGTGTCTGGAGCCAGGGCCCCCAATCCTCCATGCAGCCATTTTTCCAAGAAGCCAGATGCTGTGCCGCCTGCCTGCCTGTGCTTTATCAGAATACAGCAAAAGGACATAAATAAATAAACAAAACTCTGCTGAGCTCTTTCCCCCTAACGACCGCCAACGTGCAGATGCTTAAAGAGACATTTTTCCAGAGAACAATGGATGAGAGGCGTCCAGACCATGGAAGAATTTTGTGTCAGATATTATTGTTAGTTGCATTTTTTTAACAAACCCAAGCAGATAGGACCTCATTGAGATTTCTATCGGGCCCAGGAGGTTTCCTGCATTTCAACTTTTGTTTGTTTGTTTTTGTCAATACATTAGTGTCTGAAATTTGTAAGGCACTCACTTGTAGCTAGAAAAATTCCTCTGTTGGGGGGCAGTGTTTGAAAACACAATCTTTTTAATTTTCTTCAGCTGGACCTCTATCACTGGATCTTTCGTTAATATAGATCCTTATTTGTGACCGGCCCCTTCCCATCTCTCTGTGGCTAATCAGCCCGTTGGACATATGGAATTGTTTGTGCTTAAGCGGTTAGCAAGGCCAGATTGGCTGCAAGAAATGTAACACATTTTGGGCAACCCCCTCTAAGCTCTATTAGGCTTCATTGGGCAGAACCCCCATGGTCCCAAGGATAACCCTCCTCTGCTCAGGGAACACTGTGCAGGGCCAGGCAGGTATTTTCCCAAAGGACACAGGGCAGGGAGTTGGGTGGGTGGAGGGCTGCTTCTGGCTTCATCACTACGTGTTGTGTGGCCTTAGCAATCCTATTCCCCTCTCTGGCCTCCTTCTGCAGTTGTCAAGAACAGGGTTAGATGACAAGCAGGAGAAGTCCTGAAATAGGCAGACAGTGCAGGACCCTTTGAAAGGGCACCCTCGTGACCCAGGACAGCCCCTGAGCTGGTCCTCTCGTGCAACAGTGCCAGCAGTTCACTCAGGCTGACCCATTCCGTGAGGGGGAGAGGAAACTGGGGGTTCTGTGAGAGCAGGTCTGACTCACTGATTCCCCGACACGTCTCCATGGACTCTCGAGGTGCCTGCCCTGCCCATCACTGGACAATGGGCCTGGTATGAAACAGGAAGAATCCATCCCCACGGACAAGGTGGGTCCTCCACTGTCCCTGGCCCTACCCATCATCTTCGTGATGCTGGCAGGCAACAAAGGCCCACAGAGGGTCCACCATCCCACACACCCAGGGCACAAGATTGCTAGATAAAATACAGGGTGCCCAGGTAAGTCTGCATTGCAGTTAAAGAGCCAATAATTTTTTAGCATGTCCTAATATTGCAATGAGACATGCGTATCTTAAACAATTTTCATGGTTTATCTGAAATGAAAATTTAACTGGGATGTCCACTCATTGTTGCAAAATCTGGCTATCTGGCCGGGGTACGGAGTATGTAGGCATGTGAGCTGGGACCAGAGCTAGTTCCCATCCCCAGCTCTCACCTCTTGCCCCAGAACCTCTTACCTCCCTCCCCTTCTTGTATCCTCCACCCCCAAAACTCTGGAAGACACAGAGTTGCTGCAGTGATGCTTGGGAGGAACTGTCCTCATCCTCCCCAGCACTGAACTTTTAAAATTCTGAAGCCAGAAGTGCTGTGCCCTGAGCCCCCTGCAGACCACTCCACGGTGCATCTCTGACCTGGCCCTGTCTCTCCTTTGCAGAGCTGATAGAGCCACCGAAGCAGAGAAGGAGTGGGGGAGGAGAAGTCTGCAAGTGTGCACTGGACCGTGTCCTAAAGTGCCAGCCAGATGGCCATCTGTGCGCTTTGGCCTCCCCAGTCCTGCCAGGGAAGGAAGTATGAAGCCAAAGCCAGATGAGAGTGAAGACCTGGCCAACAGCCTCTCTGCAGACCCTGCCAAGCACATGCCACCCCCTCGGTCATGTGCACACACACACCTGCACACACACACTCTGCTCAGTCCTTCAGCTGGTCAGCGCTGATGGCTCTTGTGGGGGGCCTCTGCTCTGTCCCGATCCACCCATGCTCACAGTCCCCCCTGCAGAAGCACTAGTAATGCTCAGAGGACTTTCCAAAGCCCCTACGGAACCCAGGGACTGCTCACCCGTGGCTGTTGGTTATGTCAGATATCGGAGAACCAGCCCCAAAGACAGGCTACTGTTGTGGGAAAGCCCAGAACATAAGACTGCAAGGTCTGGTTCTTTCTGGAATCACTGCACTCCCTGGAGAAGGCCACACCCCTTCCTCTTTCAGGCTTTAGCTGCGGCATCTGTAAAATGGTGATCCTAACCCCTGTCCTGCCTGCCTTATGGAGACAGTGAGGATTAAATGTGTGTTAGAAAGGAAAGCTCCCTGTAGGTAAGAAAGTGTTGAGCAGACCTCACAACCAATGCTTTCCGTATGTGCTTCCAGGATTTCAGGGAGATTTTTCTATTTTCCATGGGTGTGATATGTCTCCATACAGCCTGGAGCCTAGTATTTGTGCAGATAGTCAGGACTGGAAGAGCTCAGATGTTGGAGAATTTACTGCAGGCTGGTCCTGTATATTGTATCGGCTTGTCACCTTCCTCGTTCTGCACACTGGATCTCTGTTAACATAGCCCCTGACTCTCACAGAACTTATTGTCAGCTCTAACCCTGTGCTTGTTTTCTGCACTCTGCTGCTAACATTCCCAGCCCTTGTATGGATAGGCCTGGGGCCTCATGGCACCCTGTTCCCAGGCCTGCAGAAATCTGCTCTCTGGGAGCACCTCCACCAGACCTGGCTGACCGTGTCCCTGAGCCAGAAGGGGATTAGAGGCCCCCACTGAGCTGGAGCTGGAGATTTGGAACAGAATACCCCCTCCCTTTCAGCTGGGCAAAAAGGAGAAGGAGCAGAGCCAACAGCCCCAGGGCTTCCTGAAGAAACTTTGCACCAGGAGCCTCCCATTTCCTGGGCTTCTGCTGATGGAACAAACTTTCCTCGGCCCTTGGCGGCCCAGATTCTGGAACAGGCTACTCTGCAGTCAGGCACTGTGTGGGGGAAGGGGTGTCAGCCTGGGATGGCAAGGACAAAGCCCCAGCCCATGCTGCTCCCCAATCTCTCCTTCCACCCAACTTGCTCTGTGGCCTCCAGCAAGGCCCTTCTCTTCCTGGGGCCTTAATTTCCTCAGCTGTAGAATGAGTCAGGGAAATAAGATTGGTCCGGTGAAATGTCACAGTTGAGTGGGTCTTACAGAGGCAGATTCTACATGGAGAAGGGGTGTGGAGCACCACCATCTTTTCTGATTCCACTCTCACTTCCCAGCTCTCACAGCCTTAAAGCAAACTCCAGCTGCCCAGACCTCCACTGTGTGCCCTGGGCTCTGGGCCTTGGCTGATCTGGTAAATGCTGCCCCCACACGCCAAAAGGACAGAGGAAACAACTAAGAGAGTCCCCAAGGCCCAAGGCTGGAACAATTTGAGCAACAAAATACATCATGAGAGTATCAAATTATAACTCCTAGAATAAAATAAAAATCCAGGAGTCCACATGGTTATAAATAAGTACCTGAATAAATAAATAAATGAAGGCAGCTCTTCCTTACAGAAGAGTTCCAATTAATAAATGTGACATGAACAAGGGAAATAAAAAAACACCATTAGAACACCACAGTAATAATTATTGCAGACAAGACGCACTGATGTATGCTAAAATTAATGGGTGAAAGTTTGAGGAGAAGCAGCATGTTCGAATTGTCTCAAAGTATCTCCCCCAAGAGATTTACTAATTATAAAGGGGAAAGAAAATACAGTAATCTGCAGTGGAGAAACCCAGTAGGTGCCACCTTAATCAAGTGACCAAGTTAACATCACCAGTAATAAGACGTAGCAACATCACCACACGCCCCGATAGGATGCACAGAGAAGACATTTCATGTATATAGTATTCTTGCCAAAAAATGCATAACATCAATTTCATCATGGGGGGACAATCAGACTGAGGGGCATTCTACAAAATCACCCATCAGTACCCTTTCAAATGTCAAGGTCATGGACGGCAAGGATGCTCTGAGGAACCATCACAGATTGGAGGGGATTAAGGAGAATGACAGCTAAATGAAACGTGAGAGCCTGGATTGGATCCTGGAATAGTGGAAGGATATTAAGAGAAAAACTGGTGAACTCTGAATCAAGTCTGTATTTTAGTAACAGTATTGCCCAATGTTGTTAATGTAATGATTTTGATAAATTATACAAGATGCTAACATTAGGGAAAGCTAGGTGAAGGTGTACAGAAACCCTCTGTGCTATATTTGTAACTTTTTAATTTCAAATAAAAAGTAAAAAATAAAACTGTTTCATTCCATTTTCTAGGGCTCTTCACTGATGCCAATCAATAGTTTGCAGCGTTTCTTCCCCTAGGTCCACCCTTGAATAAGTGGTGGGCCCTCCGGGCCAGGCACTTTACATACACAATTTCATTTGAATCCTCATAATGGCTCTCTGAAAGAGGTATTATTAGCCCCATTTTATAGATGAGAAAACTGATAGCCAGGGGCACACACTAGAACATAGAGGCTCTAAATTCAGACTCTGTCTGAATGCAGAGACTATGACAACTGATGTTTTTACTCAATTGTGGTAGCTTATGGAGGAGGTCTCATGCATATGGCCAGCAGCAAAGGCAATGCCTTTTGGTCCTTTGGAGCATGGCTTTGAGATGCTACATACCTTAATCCAAATGCAGGGCTGATCCTTTAACAGTAGAGTAAACGTAAGACTCTAGACTGCTTGGGCACAAATCCCAGATCTTCTACTTATTTATTATGTGTTCCTACAAAAGTTACTTAATCTCTCTGTGCCTGGGTCTCCTCTCATATAAAATAAAGGTAATATTTAATACCCGTCTATAGCCTGGCTCTGAGGGTCAAGCACTCAGGTCAGTTTTACACACTCCATAAGTGTTAACCATCTCTTTTGTCTTCGCCTTCTGCATCTTTCCCCAGCCACCTACAAAGTGCCAGCTTGCTGGCTAAGATTTCCTAAACTAAACAGCAAGTTGAGGTCCAAGAAAAGCTCAGAACACACTGTGGAAAGAGAAGCAGAGAGGCAATATCTGACCATCTACAGAAAGGTGTAAGATGTTATCAGCCTAAAATCCTAAGCTGGGTAGCAGCTAAGAACCATATAGAGACATTGTGGGATTAGCAAAATATTCCAGTCAAGGTGTCCTGGAATGATCCAACTCCTTATTAACTTGAATGTGCTCCACTGGCGGAGGCACCTACCTGCCCAGATGTGACCAATCTAAGGTTAACTTTACAAAGGGAGAAAACAGAAGGGAAAGAAAGGGAAGGGATGGAAAAGTGGTGGGAAGAAGAAAGGAGAAACACTTTTACCAAATGAGCTCATGAAGGAATGAATCTTAGAATCTCTTAAATTTTGAACATGAATCAATAAATCGCAGAACACTACTGAACACCAAAATCTAGGCAATGTTTGGCACCTGCTGGCTCGGTGAAAATACTGTTTTTTTAAATGCATGGAATGATTGAGATCTGAGAGCCACCCTTGCCATGTAAACCTGAAGAAGGAATTGATATGAGCATTGGCAGAATGCACCCTGTGGTTCTCCAGAGTGCTGAAGTCTGTTAAGTAGCAGAATTCTCATCAACTTGATCAAAACCAACCAATGACTCACACCAGGTCTATAGGTGGGCACTTCTGTGGTAATAAGGCTGATAGAACTGATTTTAGGGCTGCAGAAATCCACAGTTTTGCATAGCTAATAGGTTGGTCTTTGCTCCTGTATTTTTGAGGACATACACCCCTCATCCAAGTTCATTGCGGACCTCCTGCCACAATTGTAAATGCCTGGATGCCAAAAGACAGCCTCCTAGGAGAACATATATCCTACCCTCCTTCCTCTAGGCAGAGTCTTTTGCAACAGACTGAAATTTCACTCGCATTTGCCTCTAACTCTTCTTCACTTCAGTGGCCTCAGCTGTAAATTGACAGGGTTGGACTGGGTCAGTGGTTTTCAACCTTGAGTGCACATTAGAACAATAAGAAAATTTTAAAAAATCTTAATGCCCCTGTTCTGACCAAATCGAAATATCTGTAGTGGGTCTCAAGTATCTTTTTCTTAAAGACAAACAAACAAAAATAAAAATAGTAAATGTCTCCTCTCAGTCATGATAGAGTGATAGTACCAGAACAGCTCTCCCACTTGTATTAGTTTCCTATTCCTGCTGCACATAATATACATTTATTATCTGATCTGGAGGTGAGAAGTCAAAATGAGTCTCAGTGGGCTGAAATCAAGGTGTCAGCAGGCTGTGTTCCTTCTGGAAGCTGCAGGAGAATCCATTTCTTTGCCTGTTCCAGCTTCTGCTTCCCTTGGCTCATGTTTTCTTTCTTCTAACTTCAAAGCCAGCAAGGTTGGGCCAAATCCTTCTCACACTGCCATCCTTCTGCTTCTCTCTCTTCTGTCTTCCTCCTCCACTTTTAGGAGCCTTTTCAATTATAATCCAAAATAACCTCTCTCTTTTAAAGTCAATTTACTAGCAGTCTTAATTTTATCTGCAATCTTAACTTGCCTTCGCTACATATCATAACATATTCACTAGTTCCAGAGTGAACATCTTTAAGGGACCATATTCTGCCTACCACATCATCTAAAATGGGGGAAAAGTATGGACAAATACGTAAAACGAATGTTTTCAGACACTGAACAACAGGCATCATAGTAGTGTAGTGACTAAGAAAAAGAAAACAAAGGAGATGTGCCCTACAATTCTGCAGATTTCTGCCTAGAAGCATTTAGCAGACATGGCGATTGTTCACAAGAACCCAAGCACATCGTGCAGTCTCTGTGAGCTGAAAAGACAGAGATGTAAGTTTGGGAAGGCTGAGGCTGCTGGAACTTGTGGGGCAGAAAACTAAAGAGGAAGAGGCTATGCAGAGGAGGAGGTCCAGATATTGTCATGAAGATCCCCTGAGTCTTTGACTGAAGACTATGCTATAAATGTGTAAAGACTCCATTAAGCCAGGCAAAGAACAATCACCAGACAGGGAGTAACTACCAGGGAACTGTAAGCTGAATAAATACTAAAGCTTGGTATGGTTGAGAGACATTTGAGTTCTGACCAAATAAAGAAACCTTATCAAACACTTGGAGCATTTAGGAAAAGTCTCATAAAAGGCACACCTTGGTGGTATAACTTAGCTGTCCTTTGAGTAAAGACTACTTTAGATCCCATGAAACTTAAAACCAAGCTCAAAAGTGCAAGATAACCTGAAAGTGAACTACTGGCTATCAGAACACAACTCAATGTGCTTTATGGGGGAAAAAAACACACACACACAACAAAATCTAGACATTCAATAACTTCAAACACACAATGTCCAGCATCTAATTAAAAATAACGAAACATGCAAAAAAAAAAAAATTAAAAAGTAACCCAATAAATTTCAATAGGACAAACCTATAGAATCAAGACCAGAAATTATAGAGGTAATAGAATTCGCAGAAAAGAACTTTAAAACAGCTATTATAAATATATTCAAGGCTTAAGAAAAACATAGCACACTGAAGAGATAAAAGGTTTTTTTAATCCAGAACACCTAGAGCCAAAAAATATATAATATCTAAAATGGAATATTCACCAGACAGGCTTAATAGCAGATTAAACATCGCAAAAAGAAGTTGTAAATAAGATTGAATAGAAGGCAAGAACTATCCAAATAGAAGCAAAGAGATATTTTTAAAAAGCTAATAAATTAAACAGAGCCTCAGTGACATAAAGGACAATATTCAGTGATCTACCATTCTGAAGAAAAAAACACATTGTTTTCTGTCTACCCTTGCACACAACACAGAAAACTTCTGTGTCCAAAATGTGTGAAGATTTCTTTCCACAAACAACCAGTTCTTCAGCAGATACCAGCTGGGTGTCCTATAATTCAATTCAGTTTGATACTATCTGCCTGGAGACAGGGTCAGATCCCATAGGTGAAGGACTCAGTTCCACAAGACTGTCCCCATCAACTTCAGATGCTAATTGTAAGTCTGGGTTTTATACCTTGTGACTAACCAGATCTAAACTAGGCGGTCCCATGACCTTCTCCTCAGGTTTAATTAATTTGCTAGAGAGCTCACAGAACTCAGGGAAACATTTTGTTATACTTACACTTACCCATTTAATACAAAGACTATTGTAAACAACACAATCGAACAGTCAGATAAAGACACACAAATGATTCAGAAGGGTCCCAAGCATAAGAGCTCTGTCTCTGTGGATTTGAGGCACACCACCTTTCCAGTGCATGAATGTGTTCTTATTTACCAACCTAGAAGCTCCTCGAACTCTGTCCTTTTGGGTTTTTATGGAAGCTTCATTATGTAAGCATGATTGATTATATCACAGTGATTTGGTAATCAACTCAACTTTTAGCCCATCTTCCCTCTCAGAAGGTGAGGGAGTGGGGCCAAAAGTTTCAACCCTCCAATCACATGGTCAGTCCCACTGGCAACCAGCCCCAATCCTGTGATTATCTAAGGGCTTTCCAAAAATAATCACTTCATTAATATAAACTCAGGTGTGGTTGTAAGAGACCTGCTGTGAATAATAAAACACATGTTTTTCACTTGTATTGCCATGCAGCTGTTTCAGGAACTGAGGAAAAAAGTCTAAATTTTTTTAGCAAAAAAATACACCTATGGCTCTAGTCACTTGGGAAATTATGAGGGTTGTAGGAGCTGGGAACCAGAAGCTGTGACAAAAGCCAGAATATGTATTTTTTATTATATCACAATAGCACAACTATATTACATAATATAGAGTCTTCAAAGAAAAGGAAGAGAGCATTAAAATTATTTGAAGAAGTATTAGCTGAGTTTTCTAAATGTTTTTGAAAATATAAGTTGACATAGTCAAAAAACTCAAGAAAGCACCAGTCAGGATAAATACAAAGAAAATCATATCAGGGCATTTCATAACCAAGTTTATGAAAATGAGAAATCTTAAAAGTCACCAGAGGAAAAATACTCATGTACAGAGTAAAATAACTAAAAAGTAATAAAGACTCACATGAAACTACGCAAGCCAGAAGACGATGGAACATCTCTAGTGTGTAGAAAGGAAAGGAAAAGAGACTGTTGATCTAGAATTCTATAGCCAGTGAAAATATCCTTCAAAAGTAAAGACAAAATAAAGAATTTTCAGACAAATTTTCATTATCCCTAGCATACCTGCATTATAAGAATTATTAAACAAAGTTCTTCTAGCTGAAGGAAAATATCAGACAGAAATCAAGTTTATACAAATGAATGAAGAGTCCCAGAAATGCTAAATATGCAGGTAGGTTAAAAAAAAAAATTTGTGTTTTCTAATTTCTTATTTTCCTTAAAAGGCGGTTGATGACAATGTAAAAATAATGTGGAGTGGGGTTTATAATGTATGTATAAGTAAAATATGTGACAATAACAGCACAAAGGACAGGAGGGAAGAAAGGAATTATATTGCTATAAGATTCTTATATCACACATAAAGTGGTACCAGTAATTGACAGAACAAGGAGACAGAAAATCTATAAGGATATAGGAGACTTAACCAAATAGACCTTTATGGAACACTCTACCCAACAACAACAAAATACGTATAACTTCCAGTGCACGTGGAATACTTACCAAGTAGACCATATTCCCAGTGTTGTGCTGGAGCTGGCTTGTAGCAGCTCACAAAATTGTGCACATTTCTTTCCAATAGTACATTTAGTAACATTATGTTGAATTTGGCCACGGTGCAAGTATTTATACCATGAAAATTGGCAAATACTACCAATCAGACCTTTTTTTTCCACAAGACCTGACTTACCTGTACATTACCACATAGTCTGGTGTGCATGACAAAAGGTAATTTACATAAAACAAATACCAGTAAGTTTTAAAGTATTGACATAGTACTGTGTATGTTCTCTGGCCACAGTGGGATTAAATTTTAAAATCATAATAATAAGATATATGCACAAGCCCAAAATATTTAGAAATTAAACAATGCACTTTTAAATAACCCATAGCTCAAAGAATGAATTACAAGGGAGATTTTTAAATATTTTGAACTAAATGAAAATAAAAACAAAGCTTATGAAGTTTGTGAAATACAGATAAAGCAGCTCTAAGATGCAATGACAACTTTGTATTGATATCAGAAAGGAGAAAGTCCTAAAGTCAATCATTTAAGGCCCTATTTGATGAATGAAGAAAAAGAAGGACAAAATAAACCCAAAGAAAGTAGAAGGAAGAAAATAGTAAAAATAAGAGCATAAAACACTGAAGTAGAAAATGACAAACACAGAGGGAAATGAGTACAAACGCTGGTAGTTCTACAAGGTCAAAAAACTAGTACCATTGACAATTGCTAGGCCTCTAGCCAGATTGACCAAGAAACAAAGAAGACACACCTTACCAATCCCAGGAAAAAAACGACATATTACAGACCCTACTTTAATTAAATGGCTAATATGGAAATAGCATGAACAATTTTATGTCACAAATTCAACAACTTAGAGAAAATGTAAAAATTCCTTGAAATGTGCAAATTACCAAAGCTCACTCAAGAAGAAATAGAAAGCATAAATAACCCTGTATGTGCTAACGAAATGGAATTTGTAGTTATAAACCTTCCCACAAGGAAAGCACTAGGTTCCAATAGTTTCACTGGCAGATTCTATTTTTAAAAACTAGGTTTAAAAAAATCAGACCTATCAAATTATTTTAGAAAACAAAGAAAACTCTTCCCCATTTGTTTTATGAGCAAACTTATTCTGATACCTAAACCAGAAAGCATATATTAAAATAGAAAACTACAGACCAATACCCTTCATGGAGCACAAATGCTGCTAAAATATGAGCAAATTGTATTCAACAGTATGTTAATACAAAAATGATAATACACTATGACCCAGTGGGGTTTATCCTAGGAATTAAAGGTCAGTTTAATATTCAAATATAAGTGAATTTATATGATTATCTCAATAGAATCTTGAAAAAAATTGACACAATTCAATATCATTTATGGTAAAAACTTGCAGTGCAAGACTGTATTCTTGCACTGCAAGTTTTTACCATAAATGATGTT
Organism: Homo sapiens; assembly: GCF_000001405.40. Lineage (NCBI taxonomy): Eukaryota > Metazoa > Chordata > Mammalia > Primates > Hominidae > Homo > Homo sapiens. The sequence continues at coordinate 78,425,040 of NC_000010.11, read as the reverse complement.
GAATTAATATATATATATCAATTCAAGCAAATATACACATTTGCTTCCAGGCTGCTCTTCTTCGCACTGAGGCTCAAGGTATTGGTGCTTTCTTCCCTGAACTGGCTCCCTCTCCAGGACCTCAATTATACTGCAGCCCAGCAGTCCAAAGCCTAGTTCTATTCAAGGGGACTTCTCTACCACCTTGGTGTAAGCCCTCAGCACCACATGAGCAGAGCCATTGCATTGGGGAATCAGGGTTTCCCAGCCAAGGGAAAAAGCTTTGATTTGGTCAGCACTTACTTTTGTCTAAGCATGAAAGAAACCCAGCTCAGCCTGGATTAAACCAAAAATAAATGTTATCAACTCACATGACCAGTGTTAGTCCTGGCTGAACCCAGGTGCTAGGTGGAATGATTAGTTCTGTTTCTCAGCTTCCGTTCTTCTCTGTTGACTTCATCCTCGAGCTGGCTGTCCCTACAAGGTGGCAGAAATGGCCCCAGCAGCTCCAGGCCCATGTCCTAATGTGTCCAGAGTTGGTTCCTTCTGATGGATTCTTGGTCTCACTGACTTCAAGAATGAAGCTGCAGACCTCTGTGGTGAGTGTTACAGCTCTTAAAGGTGGCACAGACCCAAAGAGTGAGCAGCAATAAGATTTTTTGTGAACAGCGAAAGAACAAAGCTTCCACAGCATGGAAGGTGACTGGAGCAGGTTGCCTGCTGGCTTGGAGTGGGGGGTGGTGGCCAGCTTTTATTCCCTTATTTGTCCCTGCCCACCTCCTGCTGATTGGTCCATTTTACAGAGTGCTGATTGGTCCATTTTACAGAGCACTGATTGGTCCATTTTACAGAGCGCTGATTGGTGCATTTTTACAGAGTGCTGATTGGTGCATTTACAATCCTTTAGCTAGACACAGAGTGCTGATTGATGCATTTACAGTCCTCTAGCTAGACAGAAAAGTTCTCCAAGTCCCCACTCAACCCAGGAAGTCCAGCTGGCTTCACCTCTCAATCCCAGCACTTTGGGAGGCAGAGGCGGGTGGATCACAAGGTCAGGAGTTTGAGACCAGTCTGGCCAAGACGGTGAAACCCCGTCTCTACTAAAAGTACAAAAATTAGCCTGGTGTGGTGGTGGGCGCCTGTAATCCCTGCTACTTGGGAGGCTGAGGCACGAGAATCACGTGAACCCGAGAGGCGGAGGTTGCAGTGAACTGAGATGGCACCACTGCACTCTAGCCTGGGCGACAGAGCAAGACTCCATCTCAAAAAAAAAAAAGAAAAAAAAATGCTATATGAGGCTGGTAAACAGGGGCAGGTCACTTCTCTGGTGAATGAGCTTAACCAACCCCCCAGCATCCTCCTCTCTTGAAGGAGGAGTTACAGACTATGCCAGCCACTTGCGGATTCACAGCAGCCTTGGGACAGGGCTCTTGGTGGGTGGGTTTTCTCTGGTAGAAAGAGTATCTACTTAGGCGTCAGGCATTTTACCAGATTGACATTCCACATGCATTCCATGTCTCCTCAAGACAGTCCAGAGAGAGGGATATTGTTCTTACCTGACAATCAGGGAAACCAAGTCCCAAAGACTTAAGTGACTTCACAAAGTCAGGAAACGCTGGTGATAGATTCTATTCTAAATCTAGAAAAAATATCCTTCCCATAGCACCTCTATCTTTTCCCATTAACGTTAGTAGGTGTTCAATAAATATTCATGAGATAGGGAAGAGAATTTGAACTGTCTGCACACTAGCCACTTGGCCAGTAAATTGGAAGGCGAGAATATGGTCCCCGTATACACTTACAGCATGTTGAGAGAAGCAGGGCTTCCCAGACAGGCGAGGGCTCTTTTCAGAAAGGGTAGAGCAGGCTCTGAGCAGCCTGGCTTTTTAAACAAGAATCGAAGGTGATTCTTGTGATTAAGTGTTGTCGGCAGCCGTGCCACGGGGACCCACAAAAGGCAGAAAATGGCCGTGACACTTGTCTTACTCAGACTGCAGTGGAAGGAGCAGACCCGCCTAGTTTCTGGAAGAGGGTAGCCTATTTTCTCCCCTTCGAGGCAAGTGGAGGTTCATGAAGGGTGGGACCAGAAGAGGCGAAGGAAAGTTACTGCTGCCCAGAGCAGCAAAGTGTTTTCTTTTCTTTTTTTTCTTTTTTTTTTAGACGGAGTCTCGCTCTGTTGCCCAGGCTGGAGAGCAGTGGGGCAATCTGAGTAGCTGGGACTACAGGCGCCAGCCACCATGCCCAGCTAATTTTTTGTATTTTTAATAGAGACGGGATTTCACAATGTTAGCCAGGATGGTCTCGATCTCCCGACCTTGTGATCCGCCTGCCTCGGCCTCCCAAAGTGCTGGGATTACAGGCGTGAGCCATCGCGGCCAGCCCAGAGTGTTTTCTTTTTCCTCAAAACAACCAGTGATGACCGAGGGTTTCTCTGTGCCTAGACAGTGGCCAGGACTGTTGGTCTGTGTCGTTGAGCAGGTCACACTATTTGGGGAAATATCACATGCGTGTCTTTGATTACCATTTCACTTCTTTGACCCGTCTCTGCTGCAAAGGTGATGAATAGAGCTTTCAAGACATTGACTCAAAGCTCAGAGAAGAGAGCAGACCCAGGGAGGCCTCGAATGTCTGCTGCCAACGTCCACTGCCCCATCAGACCAGGGAGCCTGACATGCGTCAATCACATGTGTGACTCCCCCAGAGCCATTGCAGGGGGGCCCTAGGAGACCCCTCTGCTGGATGGATCAAAGCAGACTTTTCCTGCAATTATATTCACCTGGATGTGGGGAAAGGTGTAGGCCTCCGTTTCCACATCTGAAAATGGGGGTAATCATTGTATTTCTCATAGTCTTCCTGTGATGATTAAATGGGTGTAAATAATGCACATAAAGCACCTGATTTAGCACTTCAAAATGTTAGCTAATATGATATCTGTTCTTGGTATTCTCACCCTCATCTAAATGCAGATTCTACCTGCAAAGTTTCATTGGTTTTTTACCTGACTCAGAGCACATGATTACATAGTTCCAGGGCTGGAGAAGAGTCTTCTAGAGGTGCCCTATTCAGTCAAACCCCTTTATTCCACAAACGAAAGAACAATGAGACCCAGCAAGAGTCAAACTCTTAAAAAGGTCACATAGGAGTGTGTCCAGAGCCAAAAGAAGCCCCAGCCCACCCAGCCCTCAGGTCCCCACCACCCCACTGGCAATCAGCAGCTTCTCATACTGCAGACGTGGTAAGTCCAACAAGAATTTTGGTGTATTTTTTTTTTAAAAAAAGATTGATTTTGATGTTTTGAGGCTTCGTGAAACCAGCAATTTTAATCAATTTTTCAAAATTGCTAATTTCATCCATCCAAGGAACTCACACACAAACAGAAGGGCTGATTGAAATTTAAATGGCGGCTGGCGTGTTAGCTGCAGGCACAGGCTGGGTATTTTCATATGCAAGTCTGGAACTGTGTCCCGGCCTGCCAGCAAGAGGAAGCAATCTCCCCGAGACACTCAAAGGCATTAAGAATTCAGGCAGCCAAAATGAGAAGCAACAACAAGAAATGATAAAACAAAGACAGACCATTATTAGCGCCAACATAATGTGTTCCAGTGTCCTCAGATCTCATTTAGAGCCCGGTCCGTTGTCTGTTGAAACTGTAATTAGGCTGATAGGAACCAGAGGATTAAAGTAACTTTCTCCCCCCAGTTGCAGGGATTTCAAATGAGCGAGATGGGGAGGAGATAAACCTGAGAAAGATTTTAATATTCTAAGCCGCAGCTCCTGGGACAGCACAGGCTGACAAACAATGGCTGGTTCCTGCCGAGACAGCCGGGGGAGGGATGTGACCTCACTGCCTGCCCCTCCTCCAGGATGGGGAAGGTGAGTCCGCCCTGCTCCCCGCCAAACCTGGGGCACTGGCACCACCACCACCGTCCTTGACGCCTCCCTCTCCTTGACCCCTCACTGATCCATCCCTCCTCTCACTTCCCACATCCTCTTTTGGGACAGTTCCAACACACCAGTCTCGCCCCAGTTATTGCAAGGACCTCCTGACTGACCTGGGAGAGCCAGGAAGGCAGTAGCTCCCCTGCATCTTCCTTGCTTCAGCCTCTGGTGCCTTTAGTTAGATGCCGGTTTCCTCACCTCCATCGGGCCACCAGGTAACCTTTGCAACCACACACTTGATCTCGTCCCTTCTCTCTTTAAACCCATCCCATGATCCCTACCCCATCCAGAGAATAAAGACAAACCCTTGGCAAGGCACTGAAGTCTCTTCCTCACCTGTCTCCATGCTGCCTCTCTGGCCCCTCTTGTCTCAGGCTCTGGTCGCACAGGACCCCTTGTCTGCCCTAAATATGCTGCAGGCTTCACCCTCTGGCTGGTGCACATGCTGTCCTCTGGCCTAGAACACCCTACCACACTCCTTTATTTGGCAACATTCAAGCGGCCTTCACAGTCTTCCATACTCCTTCTTGGCAAAGTCTTGGCTAGAGCCCCTGCAGGAAGGAGTCCATCATTCCTTCTTCAGGGCACCCAGAGGACCCTGTTTAGACATGTGTCTTATTAGCCCTCCTCCAAGCTCTGCCCCTCCATGTTGCTGACCACACAGTGACCTTCCACTGGAATATAAGCTCTACAAGGGAAGGGACTAGACTGTGTTCACCCTGACATTGGTGAGACCCGGTGCTTGGCTAGAAACTCAGCATTAAAGTTTATGTCAACACCAATCACCTGGACATGTTATTTGGGACCCCAGGGGCAGGCAGCCTGGGGACTCCTACTGCCTCTCCCTGTATCTGCTTTTTCTGGAAATATTACCAACCTGGACAGGTTTTCTTGTGTGAGTCTGTAGACAGAGAGAGAGAAAGAGACAGAGAGAAGAGTGTGTGTGTGTGTGTGTGTGCGTGCGTGCACACACGTGTTCCCACGCGTGCCTGTAGTGGGTGTACACCCATAAGCACAGCAAATCCCAATGAGCTGGGTGAAGGGGAGTTCTCATGTCCTGGGTGAGGTGTTGACACAAGGCAGGGAAGAGTGGTTGCGTCACCCAGGACTAGAGGAACAGATCAGCCTCCAAATTTCCCACAGTCTTTGTACAAAATTTAATATTGCCTTGTCGAGTCCCTCATACTCCAAGCCCTCAAAGCCTCAAGAGCTGCTTGGAAGATGGCAGAAGAGCAGCATCCGACAGTCATTCCTCCAGTGTCCACTGGGGAACTGGGAAGTGACAGTCGTTGTTCTAAGCACTGGGTCCTTAATCTTCCTGTGCCTCAGTTTCCCCACCTGTGAAATAAGGGAGACTCTTTCATGGTGACAGCGTGTGCAGCTCTGACAGTGTGACCCTTATGAATGTCCCTTCAGGGTGTCACTGCCACATTTCCCCACGCAAGCCAGCAGGGCATGGCTTGACCTTGGAATAGGCTCTGTGACTGGTAATAGGGAATTCAGCCTTGAGGGGGCCCACCCAGGACTCGTCTGAACAGCTTCCCATCCCTGTATCAGATGATATGATACCCACAGAGGCCGTGGGAAGGGGCTGGAAGGGAGTTTTATCCTCACTTAACACTTGCGGAAACTGAAATCTAGAGGGGTAAAAACACCGAGCAGTTCATCCCCGGAGAGATCCTCACTAGGCCCCCAGCCACTTCCAACCTGCCCTCTTTTGCTTTTGTTTTTCTGCATAAAAAGCTCGTCGCCTTTGAGAGTTGTGGGAGATGACAGAAAGCAGCTAAGAACTGCTAGCTCGCTTTCCTGTTCTCTCCTAGAAAAGATAGAATTTCTTTGCTCAGAGAAAGAGCTGTGTAAATGTGAGTTTTCTTGCTATGTGGATTAGCCTGTTGTGTATGTGTGTTAGCATGTCCACCTGAGAGGGAGTGTGTGTGTGTGTGTGTGTGTGTGTGTGTGTGTGAAGGCAATTTGATGTAGGCTGTGTCTATAAAGCAAGTAGTCCTGTGGATATGTGGGTGAGAGGACACAGCAGGTGTATGTGGGTGTGTCACATGTAAGCATCATCGTGACTGTCTGTTCATACACGTGAGTGAGGATGTGTATAGATAGGTGTGTGGGCTTTTAAGAGTGTATCAATGGCCAGGCGTGGTGGCTCACGCCTGTAATCCCAGCACTTGGGGAGGCCGAGGCGGGCAGATCACCTGAGGTCAGGAGTTTGAGACCAGCCTGACCAACATGGAGAAACCCCATCTTTACTAAAAATACAAAATTAGCAAGGCATGGTGGCACATGCCTGTAATCCCAGCTACTCGGGAGGCTGAGGCAGGAGAATCGCTTGAACCCAAGAGGCAGAGGTTGAGGTGAGCCGAGATCGTGCCATTGCAATCCAGCCTGGGCAACAAGAGTGAAACTCTGTCAAAAAAAAAAAAGAGAGTGTATCCATGCAGATATATGTGTGTTCATTGTGTGCGTTGCCTATGTACATTGTGTTTGCAACTGGAGAGAGAAAGAAGCCACAAAATACACATCTTTCCTAGGATGAAAACCACAGCCTGATCCCAACCTCAAGAGTTGATGTTTTGTCCCCAGACCTCTGCCATATAAAGTCATCCTCATTTAGGCTACCTTATAACCCCGAACTTCAGACAAGTAACTTGCAGATCATGTTGCATGCTGTTCTCCGTGTCCTAAATGGGTTCATTGGCTTCATGGCACCAAGGAAACTGCTGTGAGTTCCTTTGAGTTCTAGTAGAGTTAGATTTGCTTGGAGTCAGGCCGACTTCAAGGCAGCTTCTTAATCTGTAACTGGAAGGACGATGTCTATATGGCAGGGCTGTGGTGAGGGTGCAGGGAGACGGCAGATGCGTGAGGCCCAAAGCCAGCACCCTGTGCATCGTAGGTGCTCAGCCTCCGTCCCCAGTGCTTCATCCCACATGACAGCCGAGGGGACTTGGCTTCAGCTGCCAAATGCTATTCACACTTGCTCCTCTGGTGCTGGACCAAACAGGCTTTGGCAGGGTCAGTGGGGGCCCACCTCCCCCACCCACAGCCCCCGTCATACATGCCCCATTAGTTGCACAGTGCCCCAAAGTACAACAGAAACGTTTCCTACGCCGTTTCCTCTGCTAAATGCCTCCATGACAGCTTCTTGGCAGGAGGAAAGCACCAAGGTTAACATATGTTAAGAACATGTGTTGCAGGTATCCCACCTCAGCATAGAGGCAAGAGGGGGCCTTACCTCATTGTGGCCTTTCCTGTTCCTGCAGCCCGTGCCGCTGACTTCCCAGGTGTCCCCTTGGCTTCTCCCGGGAAGCCACTGAGGAATCTCAGCCCAGACATATCTAGATGGTCATCTCTCTGTTCAGAACGCCTCACATGGCCTCCCTGCCCAGTGACCACTGGACTCAGCTAACACATCCTGCCGACAAGGACTTGCCACCACTGGGGATGTCAGTAGCCCTTAGGCACTCTCCATGGGCCAGGCTCTGAGTAGGCCCTGGGAATAGATTGTGAAAAAGACACAGCCACACCCCTGAAGGCCTGACAAGTTTCAACTCATATCATGGTGAGGGCAGGGATCACCTGTCCCCTCATAGTTTGAGCTCTGGTTTGCCAGCCTGTCCCAGTCCAAGGAAAGGCAATGATTGGATCATGTGGCAGGCCATGGTCTGTGGGTTTGTGGCTCTACAAAGTGCCTCTCTCTATTGTACTACAGTTTTACCTTCTTTACTTCCAAAATCCAGGAGCATCATACCTACATCACCACAGTAGTGTTGGCCCCAGAATCCCCTGTCTCCTGGAAACAGACTGGCCTTCCTAGAAGGGCAGTGATGGGGACTCCAGGTCCTCTGGAGCTCTGATATCATTTGGTCACTTTGCAGATGTGGAACTTGTGGCTTTGAGAGGGCACATGATTATCCCAAAGTCAACAGCTAAAGGAATCTCAGTCCTGATTTTGAATCTAAGTCAGCATGCTACAGCATCCCAGGGTTTGGCCAATGAAGTCAGGATGGATAGTGGCCTATCCAGGAGGTCAAGTTCAATAGTAGTTTTCACTGGGCATGCCGCTGAGAACACCCTCTTAAGCTGTTCCATTTATGAATTCCATATCTATTAGCATCCCACGAAATTCATCATTTAGATGAAAAAGCTCACTGAATCCATGCTGGGTGACCAGTCTGTGCTCAGAGCTGCCAGGCAGAGAACAGTGGAGATGGAGGGAACAAACAAGATGTTGTATTAACATTGAGCAATGCTAGCTGCTGCAGCAGAAAAAGCCCCAAATCTCAGAGACTTAAGATGATGGAGTTTGTTTCTTGCTCATATTACATGTCTAATGTAGGGCAGTGGGAAGCTCTAATCCACACAGATTCAGGGAACCAGGCTGACAGAGGATCTATCATCTTATAAGTGTAGCATCTGGATCACATGGCATCTGTAGTCATTGTGGCATGGAAGAAAGGAATGGAGAAGGACTTCTGCCAGCTCTTAACTGCCTCAGTCAGGAAGTGACACATGCCACTTCTGCTCACAGCCTACAGCTAGTCACACGGCCCCATCTTCCAGCAAGAAAGGCTGGAAACCTAGGAATGCACATGAGAGGTTTAATGAGTACTCACTCTCTCTGGCATAGACTTTTGGTCCCAGCCCTCCAGGGACTTACAAATTAGCCAAAGAGAAGAAAGAGGCCCACCAGGGAAGAGAAACTTGTCTGTGTTGGTTTGTGCAACACTGGTGATCAGAGGTGGAGGTCAGAGGAGGGAGAAGTCAGTGAGGAACGTAAAGATATTAATCATAGGGAAAATTGCCTGTAGGAGGTCAGCCTAGAAAGAAGTATTCACCAACACCAAAGTGGGGACAGACAGAACCTGTTTGACTAGTTTCTGAAGAAGGAAGATGGAGGCCAAGGACAGGGAGAATTTGGCCAGGTCCATGGAGCCAGAGAATGAGGCCCTTGGAAGACAAACCTGGGGAGTAAGGTTGGGAGGGGTGGGCAGTTAGGATAAAGCAGGCAATTAGCAAAGGTAAGGCTTGTGGCATCCCCAGGACAGGCTGGGAAGGATCAGAAGTAGGGACATATTGAAGGGCTCTTCGGGGAATCATGGAGAGAAGAGAGGAAGACAGAGGGGATGCCACTGAGCTGGTTAGACAGGAGAGGCATCTTGGAGGGAGCCAGAAGTCCTGAAAACAGTCACTCAGCTAGCAAGAAAATGCATCTGAGCCCATAAAATTTTGACCTCCATTCCACATAAGTTTCCGGAAAAGCTGCAGCATTAAACCCAATGGGAATGCCTGTTCAACAACTGCCCTGTAAATTAGATGATTTGATTTCAGAAGGTAAAATTACTTCTTGAAGTTAAATTCTTGGCTCTAGTTTGAAATCCTCTCAAGCAGGCTAGAACAGCTGGTTCATCCTTAATGGATGAAGTCAGGCACTCCCTTCCCCTCCCATCCACTTGAGAGGTGTAAGGACACACAAGGTTTCCCTTTTGATAGCACATCTCTCCCATGCACAGAGGAACAGATTGCACTAGGCTTGAGGGTTAAGGGGGAATGCCTGCAGACCTAGATTCTAGAAGGCAAGAGGGAGCAGGCAAACCTCCTCTGCAGAGGGTCCTCTTGCATTTCAGTCTGGCCTCTGTTCTGGTGCCAGTGATCCTCTTATGCCAAGTCCTGGACCGTGTCCTGAGGAATGTGGGAAAGTGGAGGGAAGGGTCCTAATGTCATGACCAGCAATGTACTTGCAGATGTTTGCTTGGAAGGTCCATGGTGTGGACTTCAATGGTCCAATTGGTTGATTAACATCATATGCTTGGCCCTGTGGGGTAAAATTCCAGCTCACAAGTGGGTTCATGGAATTCACTGGAAGGCCAAATTTTCTAACAGTTGAACTTATCCACCAATGGAGTGAATAGGAAAAGGACTTAAACTTATTCACCCTTAGGAAAAGGACTAGTGTCTCCATCACTGGAAAGCCCAGACAACCATCACTTACTCAGATGGCATAAAGAGGGGACAGGACCACATCTAAAGCCTGGGTAGTTCTGGCACACTAAGTTGCTTGTTTATAATCCTGGCTACCAGACAATTCTACAATTTGTAGTAAAGTAACTAGTCCATCTTGGTTTGCCCAGGACATTCCCAGTTTTAGTAATGAAGGTCCCATATCCCGGGAAATCCCTCAGCCCCCAGCACACAGGGACAACTGGTCACCCTACTTTGTAGGCCCATAGGTGACAACCTCATAACTCACCATGTTTCACTATTATTTGTTATAAATACCAGGTTTTGTAAAAAAAAAAAAAAGACTCAAACTTCTGGAAGACATTTTAAAAACTAAGAGTGGATTCAAGGCTGTCCACACATGAACCTTATTCTGACCTACATGCATCTTAATATGCCTTTTAGTGGGGGACAGAAAGAGGCAAAACACCATGCCAGGAGGCTGCATTCCCAGCAGCTGTAATGAGCAGCCGATGCTGATGAGCCGAGGGTGCATTCCTAGAGTTACCATCTCAAAGCACACTTCATCTTAATAAGGAAGTGCCACCCACGAAGGATTCTTGCCAAAAGAATAGGGCCTGAACCCAAGCCTTTGGACCTAACACTTAGCGTAAGGAAATACCAGGATAGAGGAAAGAGTTCAACACCACCACAAGAAGGGCACCAACCAAATCCCAAATGCAGGGTGCCCCATGGAACAATGAACCCATATTCTTCACCAAGTCAACAGCATGAGAAATAAAGAGGGTCAGGGGAGGCTGATCTGTTCAGAGCTATAAAAACCAACTGCGGAGACAGGGCTGAGTCTGAACTTGATTCAAAGTAACTAGGGTGGGGGGTAGACATCTTTTCTGGAATAACAGGAACATTTGATTAAGGATCATGCATTCGAGTACTCTACTCATTTCCCTCTGAATTATGAGATTTTTTTTTCCAGCCTAGCTGGTGGGAACAGAAACTATTCACACCCCTGTGGGTCCTCCACGCTGTTCCCTCAAACCCTTTTAGCGGGTTTTCTTTCCTGGTCTCAGGTAATTTCCTTACATGTATGTGCTGACCAGAACTCTGCTGAGTACTTGGTGGAGTCTCTGCAGCTCTCTAGAGGTGTGTGTGTGAGTGTGTGTGTGTGTATGTCTTGTCTCCAGTACTCTGTCCTGTGTTCCATCCTGTGAACTCTCGCCACCTGGGTGTCCCTTCACTCTCAGCTCCATCTCATCAAATCAGGGAGTCCACTGGGCTCCATTTGGGTCCCCCTCCCTGTGCTGCAGCGTAGGAACTCTCTCTCCAGGCAGGTGCCTGGGGCCATCCCAGGGCTCACCTCCTTGTTTCCCATCTCTGAGAAATCACAGTAGTTCACTTCCTGAGGCCCACTGTCTTGAAAACTGTGGGTTCATAGATTTTGTCTATTTGTTGCTGTTGCTGACATTGTTGCTGCTATTTCAGGCAGGAAGCTGGAGACAGTTCCTGTGATCCCACTTTGGCCAAAAGTGAAGTCCTCCCAGTGGTTTCATCAGGTGGACGGTGCAGGAATGACGGCGTTGCCTTCACAGACAAGGACCTGGCACTCTGAGAACGGAGCAGCCTGCCTGTGCAGTTAGCCCCAGGCTCCCATTTCAGGGCCCTTTCCACTGGAGAAGTCTCCTCAGGTAGGTTCCTAGGCAAGCATCATGTTCGGCAGGGGGGCTGCCCTGCTGGGCAGAGGCACATTCTAGCACTTCCCACTAGGGTCTAAAGAGCTGGCACTAGCCTGTGCTATTTGTGAGTTTCCATCAGCGTTTTTTTCCCTGTTATCAACACTAAATAAAATAAACATTTGTCTGACTTGAGGTTTTTGGCTTTCACGGACTGTTTCCCATCTGTCTCTTTTCTCCTTCCCCCTGCCCTATTCCCTGACTCTCATTCTCAGCTCCTACCTTCCCCCCACACTACAACACCATTCCCACTCACCCCCCAACACACACATGTGCACGCGCACACACATGCTGGACTGTGTTCTTTGTTTCAGGAAGCACTTGTAGTCTCTTTCCTGTCTTCGCACTTCTTTGCTTTTTTTTTTTTTGCCCTTTTGTCCCATATCATACTCTTTTCTGAGTATCTTCGTATTCTGGCATCAAGCATGAGAATTCTAATGCCAACTCTGCTCTTGCTGTGTGACCTTGGACAAGGTGCAAAAAACCCTCTAAGCTTTTATTTTCTCTGAGTCGTAAATCCCCATTAGGTATTGAGGACATGGGCATGGAGATTTGTCCTGGAACCACTTCCTGCTGACCAACAGAGGTGGCGTGGTGTGAGGCACACCTGGTCTGGAAGTCCGAGTTCCAACCCCAGCATGGCTGCTCCCTGACTGTGTGGCCCTGCATAAGTCACTAGACCTCTCTGAGCTTCCAGTTTCTAATCTGTAAAGGGGAGGCCATTGTTCCTGCTAGCATTAGAGGACAGGACTGAAAGCTCTCTGCCTTCCTTTCTGGGAAGGAATATTTATGGGGTCCTGGCTGCACGTAGACACATGTGACATGAATGATCCCCATCAAACGGGCTCAGGAAAGGGAGGGTCTCTCTGAGGACACAGCCCCTGGCCTAACACCTTCCTGTGACCTGGTTCACACCACCTACTGGCCCAATCTGCCTGACTTGAAGAACTATGTAAACCCACAGTTCACAGCTATATAATTATTCTCTTTCTGATCATAGAGGTAGTTCATGTTTACTTTAGAAAATTGAAAAGATACAGTAGAGCATATTAAGGAAAATTAAAAATAGTCCATAATCCCTTCATCCAGAGATAACCAATACATTTTGGTTAATTTTCTTTCTTTCAGTTTATATATATTAACACACATAAGTACACATATTTTGAAATTATATACAGGAAGGATAACATATGGTGGTGAGATTTTCATAAGCCACATAGGCATGTATACAAAATATATAATTTTCATTATTTTTCTATCACTGAACTTCATTCCTCTCTTGAGCCTCATTCTCCCTGAAAGCAGAAATTTCCACTCTAGTCAATCCTGGATAAATTCAGTCACTTCAAGTTTTTTCTTTGGTAAATGCAGATTACAACTCAGTCAACTGAGAATTTTTCTCCCTCCATCTGGTCCTTCCTGAAAGGCTTGTCTAAGTTGCCGGTGAGGATGGGGTGGGGGGCTTTGGGCAGCAATGGAGAGTTGATGTCTGGTCAGCTGTCCTGCCCTGGCACTCGGCTGTGGTCATCACAGAACTCTCTATGGCCTTGCTGACCCAGGCCCCTCAGTCCACTCTGTGTCACCCTGCAGCATCCCCTCCTCATAGCCACAAGGCCTCTGCATGGGCCACCACCTCCTCTTTATGTGACCTCTCCACTAATACACACTCTGTTTAAAGGGCCAGAGAATTGAGCTGCCTCAGGTGTCACACAGGGTTGTGGGAGAGGTGAAGGAGCTGAGGTATGCAGAATAAGGGAAATATACTGGTTACTCCCTTACAAGGCCCATGCACTGTTATCAATACGTCTACCTCTCCATCTAGCTCCTCCCATCCCTATTTACTGATTATGGTAACAAACACTTCATTAGTGATTACTAGAGGCCACACATTGTTCTAGGTGCTCTGTGTGTAATAACTCACTTTGTCCTCGCAATAACCCTGTCAAGTATTGTGATTACCCCTATGTTACAGAAGGGGAAACTGAGGCCCAGAGAGCTTAGGCATCTCATCCCAAATCACAGAACCAGGATGCCCCAAACAGCAGAACTCAGCACCCACACTCCAGTCATGACCTCCAAGCCTCCCCAGTTTACGTGCCCTGCCTCCACAGACACACGCACACATGTGACATGCATGCACACACCACATTTCACATCCTGCTTTTTCATTTAAGATTATAGGACTACAGCATTGTTCTTAAATTAGGGTTCCAGTGAGGCCTGTGGGAAGGGTCGGAGTTGCAGATTCACTCATTTTCCCCTTGTTTGGCCAACCAATATGAAGCACCCACTTGCTGTTGGGGGCTGATGGTATGGAGCAAAATTAAGCATGATCCTCGCCCAGGCAAATCCATGCCTCTGAAGGGGTATCTGGGCATGGAGATAAATGAGGCCTCCCTGGTAATATGGGATGGGATGGTCATCGGGGCCTATCTCACAATGCTGGTGTGCAGATGAGATTAGATAAAGTATGTAAGTGCTCAGCTACGAGACTCCATGTGGCATTGGATAAATATCAGCTATTAACAGTATTTTAAAATGTCACCACCCCAATGAGCTGGAGCAAAGAAAAGAGCTCATGCTTCCCTGAACAGGCCGGATAGAGGGGTTACAAAGGGGGACATCGTGGGAGCCAGCACAGGAGCGCAGAAACTCCCAGACAAGGGACCCGCCCACAGCATGAGCAAGGCCGGCCAGAGAGCCCTCTGCAATGGGTGCCACAGCACCCAAAATCCACTACCATTTGCCAGCTCCCCTCAATGTTAAAATGCAAATGTTCCCCAAAGGGTGGCCCATCAAGGAATCCAAGAAAATCATCTCAGGGCACATGGCATCTTCCCCACTCTCCTCCTGAGACACTGAAGGGAAAGGGACTCGCGTCTCCCGGTTCCCAGACCCATCGCATCGCCTCCATTCTTGGCTCATGCATGCTTTCCTTCATCCATGTAATCCACAAACATTTTGGGAAACTGAAAATGAATGGGCTGTAGAATTTGCCCTCCAGGATCTCATGGTCTGGAGAAGGCAAAGGGCCCCAGAGGCCTGTCCCATGGTACTCCCTTCGGTCACTTCACACCCAGTGGCCTAGGATGCTGAAGGAGCCCAGGGTAGGGGAGAGGTCTCCTCCTTAAAGATGGGCTCCAACGTGGCCTGACTGGGGAAGCTTCTGGGACCAAGGCACAGAGGAGGGAAGGCAGGGACTGAGATGGAGAAGATCAGCCTGGAGCATGGAAAGAGCAGTGAGGACCTCGGCTAGGGGGGCAGTGTGGAGAGCCAAGAAAGCCATGCAGAGTTGTCCCATCAAATTTTCAAGCAAGAGAAAGAGGATGATTGAGTAGTCACGGGCATTGGAGAGAGGCTCTGCCAGGAGGGGAGTCTGCCAGGAGAGGACAGTGGATAGGCACCGAGGACTGCCACCTCTCCCACCTTCTGGGCTCCAGGTATCTACAGATAACACTGCTCATCCACACAAGGGACCAGAACAGAGGGCTGAGACCCTGTCCCCCACAAAGACCTCAAGCTGGGTAGTATACAGGGCCCTCGTTCCTTATCACATAGTCCCTTATATCCCTGCCAACTCTTCTGAGACACCCTGCCCCTGGTACCTGGACCCTATTTGTGGGCACCCTAGCTAACATAAACCCACCTGGCATCTATACATGTAGCACCTACACTGAGCTGAGCCAGCTCCACCTCAGTAAGATGCATTGCACTCCTAGGGAGTCAGGGAGTGGAGGGGGCAGGGGCATGGAGGTTGCTGTGGGACCAGAAGACCTAGGACCCCCTCCTGTGCTGTTAAGGTGGGAACTGGGCTCTGGACCCCAACTGCCTGGCTTCAAACCTGGCTCAGCCACACATGGCTGATTGACTGAGAAGTTCTCAACCTCATAGCACCTCCATTGTCTCAATCTTAACTGACAGTCAAGATCCCCATCTCGCAGGGATGTGGAGTGACTCTCTTGGGTGATGGGAGTTGTAGAACACAGGCCAGCAAGGTCTCTGCGCCGAGCCTCCATCCCTGTGCAGCATGAATGGAGACGGTGCACCTGGTCATGCCTCCTAAAGGATGACACTTCCATGCAGGTCCCCTCCCTAGAGGCGGCTAACAGGCATTGGTGTGAGTTCCCAGCCCAGCCCACACAACTAGGAGGAGTTGGTCCCCTGTGTGGATTAGGGGGCGCTAACAACCATGCTCCTGTTTTTAAGCCAGGGCCATGCAGACAGAGGTCATTTGCTGGGTCCCTTCAGGCCTCCATGAAGTTGGTCTTCCTGCTGCTGAGAAGTGCTTGACACAGAATGCCTGGAACCCCGCCAGACGCTCAGACTGAGCCTGCTTGGCACCAGCACCTGGGAAAGAAAGCCACAGAGCGGAGACAGTTCCCAGAAACTGGAGACCCAGGGCTTCTGATAAGGCCAGGCTGCTTTCCTGAGCCTGCCAGCCAGCCCCAAAACACACACAGGCAGGGGAGAGGGCACTGTTTGTGGCACGTCCAGGCCAAGAGAGGCCATCTCAGAGCCCCTGAGAACGGATGTGTCGACACTGGGGAGGCACAAGCCAGCTCCCTGCCTTCCCACAGTAGCTTGGGACTGTGCAGGGCTCTGGGGCATTGGCCAAGACTCACCCAGGACAAGGGAGCTCCATGGCAGGGGAGCAGGGGGGAGCTGCCCCTGCCTGTCCACAGAGCCAGCTCCCATCCCACGTCTTTGTCCTCAGAGCAACTGCTTGTGGGAAGCTGGCCACAGATCAGCATCCCTGGGCAACACCCAAGGAAATGGAGGCTCAGAGAAGGAGGGCAAATTGCTCAAGGTCACACCAGTAACAAGCCAGGACTCAAGGCTGGTCTCCAGCTTCACCCCTCAATGACTTCCTCCTTGTCTCGTGGCCAACCCCTTCTAGTCCTCCTGACCTGGTGTTAAGGCCACCGAGAGCTTTATGTGATTTGCTGAGATGAGTGGGATGAGCACCTGAGAGTGACGAAGAGGACATGAGTTCCAGTCCTGGTTATGCCACTGAGCAGCTGCACAGCCCTGGGCAAGTTTATTTCCCTCTCTGGTCTGTCTCTGTTACATAGGAATGATACCAGGCACCAACCACACTGACTGGGCTGCGGCAGAGCGCAGGAGCCCAGGTACAGACCGGCCTGGCCACCATCACTTCCTCGTGCTCGGTGTTCAGATACAGAACCAGCTGGGGATGACGTCAAGCTCATATTTCCTCTGCAGGCCACAGTGAGCCCAGCCACCCATCTTTCTGTGTATCCGTTTTGTTGCCTGTAGATGGTCTCAGTGAAGCTCAGGAGGTAGCATGTGTGAAATGCCCTCGGGAGGGGTAGCTGTTAGCATACACATTGCCCCATTTGAGATGGCTGAGTAATCGCATTTGATTTCTCCAGGTCATAAGTATGACAAACATCGCATGGTACCATGTTTAATATTTAAAAGGTTGTCCTGGGCTGAGACCACCCCATACCCAGCCCCTGAGCTAGGTGAGGTAAGTGAGGGGGTGGGTAAGGTAAACAGAATCATCTTCAGTTTTCTCCACTTATAAAACTGAACACAAAGACCTACACCACCAGAGATGACTGAGCAAGCCTTGAAACCAGGATCCCAGTGCCTCAGAGTACACGGGGAGGACCCAGGGGTGCACCAGCTTCACACCCACAGGCAGAGGTACCCAGGGGTGCACTGTCTTGACATCCACAGGAAGGAGTGCCCAGGGGTGCCCCAACCTCACATCCACAGGAAGGGGGACTCAGGAGTTCACGAGCTTCGCGCCCACAGGGAGGGACCCCCAGGAGGGAGTGAACTGGCTTCATGCACACTGGCTGCTGGAAAGGGGAGTTCTTCAGAGCAGCTTCACAATGAGCTAATCTGGAGAGGGAGAACTACCAAATCCCCCAAAGTCGAACAGGCAGGCCCAGTCAAAGCCCCTCCCCCAGCCCCCAGTGGCTCAAGCCCGACTGGCAGCCATGGAAACGGGGCAGGAATGTTTCCCGGCTGCAGGCTCTGGCCGGGAAGCCTGAGACTGCCCTGCCGCCCCCGCAACATCCAGCCAGGTGGGGTCGATCACGGATGCTGTGAAGAGGCCCAGCTGGGCCCTCCCTTGTCTCCCTAGGTGGAAATCAGGCCTGTTATTGCCCTGGATCGTGTCTGGTATTTTGATACCGTGAGAGATCTTGCGGGAGGAGAACAGGAGAGAGCTGGGGAGGGACTCAGCGAACCTGGGAGTGGTGGGTGGAGCTAGGCAGTTCATTGGCCTCTAGGTGTGTCAATCACCGCTCCTCTGCAATGATGAGCAGAGAAGCGGCAGAAAGGAGGGCAGGCACCTAGGAGGCATCTTAAGAAAAAGACCTGCTTCTGGGAGCTGTCGGGAAGATCAGAAGGGATGCGGACAGGCTCTGGAGAGAGGATGTGAGCAAATGCATGGTCGCTGTTCCTAGACCTGCCCGAAATGAAACGTTAGTACAGAAGCCTTCCCCAGCATGAGGTAGCTTTGCCAGCCACGCCATCGCTGCGGTGAGGCATCCCTGGGACTGGCCCCCTCCCTTACCCAGGGGCTCTAGCCAGCGACCTAGGAGTCCTCTGACACCCCGTCTTCCTCACCTGCCTGCCACAGCCAACATTCCATCAAGCACTGATGAATTCTCCTATTCTCTGTCTCTGGACTCCATCCAGTTTCCCCGGCCTCACTGCCACCCTCCCAGCCCACACCACACCATCTCCTACCTGAACACGGCCCTCACTTTGAACCTTCTTGGATTTCCCCCAAGACTTCTATAATCCATCTCACTCCCCTATTCCACAGGCGCTCCCCACTGCTGTTCCATAAGGGCAGGGGCGGTATTCATTCTCCTCACTCCAGGGTCCCCCAAGACTAAGCGCATTGCCCAATATCCTAGGAGGCATTGCAAGAAAGAATTTGCTGAACAAGAATTTGTTAAATGAATGAAAGGAAAGCAGGAAGGGAGAAAAGAAAGGAGCAAGGGCTCCTTGCCGAAGGGAAGTTAGACCTCCAAAGAGCAGAGTAAAGGGAGCCGGGAGGGTTGGTGAGCGCCGGGACAGCCACAACAATTTGTTCCCCCCCTTTTACCCCAGGGGGTTAAAATCTTGCTGCACCAGGATGGGGTTGTCCTTTCTCAGAGCCTGGGAATGAAACATGATAAGGGGTCTCCAAGGTCACCCAGTCCCTTCTCCTTCCGTGGGAGCCTCTCTGCAGAGCCTAGATGGGCAGTTAGGTCTTCTGCTCAGCCACCTCCAGTGACAAGGTAGTCACTCCCCATCATGATCACCCATGTGAAGTAGCCTCTGCCTCCCCAGAACTGGAACCATCCCAAAGAGAAGGATTAGGAGCATGGGCAAAGTCCAGCAATGCACTCAGCCACCCGGTATCCTCAGGGTGGAAACCAGCTCTCCAGCCCCCGGGTCTCCTCCCCTTGGAGAACCCTTGCACTGCTCTATCAGGAATCGGCATTCCCTCCCCACTCAGCCTGGCTGTCTGCTCTGGCCTCGCACCAGTCGCTTAATGCCACTCCTTGAGTTTGGAGCCCAGAACTAAACACGCCTCTCCCAGGAGTCTTGAAGGGAAACCAGCCAAATGTGAAGGAAGCTGAAGAGGACAATGAATGTGCCCATGCTCATTCCAGGGATGGACTTCATTAGCTGGAGAAAGAGATATTTTCTAGAGCTGCCACTGGGCTTGGCGAAGGCCAGTCTCAGGCAGGGGTTGGGGCTTGTCCCATGCCCCATACTAAGGATCTATCATCTTGATTTTCCAAGCCCACCATCAAGGTCCATCTGGAAAGAATGGAGAAAAGCCTGAACTAGGAACGTGTTATGACCCCACCTGTTTCTCTTCCGTCCCTGAAAGCAGCGCCTCTACCCCACATTCCCTCCCATGAAAACAGACTCTCAGGAGAGACGATGGACCTCAGTCTGCCTGGGGTAGGTGATTAATAACATTGTAATGCATCATCCTTCCAGAGGGATTGGCACTGGCAGGATCCAGGATTTAAGCTAAAGTAGCAAAGCAATAATGAGGGGATTTCAGGCCCTGACCAGCAGCTGGGGATGAAGCACAGCCCTGGGAATCTTCCCAGTATCTTTGAGACCATTCATAAGTCATCAACAGTAGAGATGCCGGCCTGGGTTTTTTCAGGTTGGCCACTTGCTTGCTGTGTGGACACATCACTGAACCTTTCTGACCGAGTTTCATCTGTGCAATGTGGATAATACTTCTACTCTCATCAAATTGTTGTGAAGAGCAAATGAAATAATGGAGGTCAGCCACCTGGCACAGAATGGGTGCTCCATCACCATTTCCTTGCTTCCGTCTTCCATGTACTAAGCATCTAGACCATTTTCATGGAGTAGACCATACAGGGACCAGGATGTAGGGTGTGTGTAAAGGCATTATACCTGTGCACTTGAAACTAGTTATTCCCCACAGTCTGAGGAAACTAGACCTTGAAACAGTCCCAACCTTCCCTCTGTCTTTTGCCCCAGAGCAGTGTGCAAATTGAAGAAAGCATCTCAGAGGCTAGTGGGCCTTACAATGGAGATCATGTGGTTCCCACCTCCAAGTCCGTTCCTCTACATCCTGAGAAATCATAGGCTGGGGGCTCTCTGGAGTCACCCTTTGGAGACAGAGAAGTGGTCAGCAGTCACTTCTTCCTCCAGTTGGCACCAAGTCCAACTTGGTGTTGTTTATCTGTTGCCACCATAAAGCTTGGTGACTTCAAACAAACATTTATCACCATCTCTCATGTTTCTGCGGGTTTACTGGGTTCAGCTGAGCAGCTCACGCACCAGGTCTCACATGGGATTGCAGTCAGATGTCCACTGGGGCTGGCATCATCTGAAGGTTTGGCCCATCTGGGTATCCCAAAAGGCTCACTCACGTGGCTGGGCTGTTGCAGGGAACTCAGCCGAGGCTGTCCACCAGAGCACCTACACATGGCCTCTTCTATGGCTTTGCCATCTCATAGTATGGAGGCTGGCTTCCCAGAAGGAGCATCCCAAGAGAGAATTCTAAAGGCCCCGGGCAGAAGCTGCAAAGCTTCTTATGGCTTAACCTTGGAAGTCTCAGAACATCCCTTCCATCCCACTGTATTGATCAAGTAGGCTCAAGCCCACATTCAAGGTGGGGGAGATGGGAGTCTGCATCTTCATGGGGGAGGGGCAAGTTCACACTGCAGAAGGAAATGTGGCATGGTGACAGTGTGGTGAGCATCTCTGGAAAGTTCTATGTTTCATGTGCATCAACCTACCCCTCCCAGGCAACAGAACGCGTGCTAACTGGGGAGAAGAGTAAGCACTGTCCAAAGAGTCGGACCAGGCCATATCTTGCAGCTGCCTGGGGCCAGCCAGCTGTCACTTATACCAACAAAGTAGCAGCTAAGTCCCAACAGGCTGCTAGTGTCTCCCCATCTGCTTTAAGGGTTGTAGTAAGGACAAAAGGAGATTAGCAGCTTCTTCATTCTAATCTGGCAAGCATTCACCAAGCATCTTGTTCATTCATTCCTTCAACAACTGTTTGTTGTGGGTCTACTCATGCCAGCCCAGAGAGGACTCCGACATGGCCAGAGGACACTGAGTTCAATGGAAGACATATGCTTACTCGGGCGGTTACAACACACTGCTTAGCACAGAAGACCTGGGGTAGACAGTCAATGGGAGAGGTCACAGGAGGGGCTGGCTTTGGCTAGAGAAGGAGAAATCAAGGAAGGATTCTCTACCTTCAAATACAAATTGAAGGGCCTCTTGAAGAACCCATGTAGGACTCCAGGGAGGTAAGGAGGAGAGAGGAGAGGTCCCCCAGGATCAGCAGAGGATGAGAAGCTGTGGCAAGTTTAGCAAATGGCAGGCCATCTGCAGTGTCTGTAAGGTAGAGAGGAGAAAAGTGGGCATGGCCATTTGGAAAGGTGATCAAGAGGAGGAAAGCAGGGGTCTGAAGGTCATGGAAAGGTTTGAACTTTCAACGGAGCCTCTGAATGACTTTACTATGATCAGACTGACCTAGAAAGATCGCTAAGGTTGTGTGATGGAGATAGCCTAGAAGAAGGTGACTCAAGAGGTAGCACAACCGAGTCATTATGATTTTGTTACTTATGGACTAGATTCCAGGCCCTATTTCACACTCTTTGCACTCATTAACCTATTGAACTTCATGCCAACTATATAAATTAGGGACTGCTGTCATCCCCCACCCTCCTTTATTTATTTATTTTTTTGAGACGTAGTTTCACTCTTTTTGCCCAGGCTGGAGTGCAATGGCGCAATCTCAGTCACTGCAACCTCTGCCTCTCAGGTTCAAGCGATTCTCCTGCCTCATCGCCCCGAGTAGCTGGGATTACAGGCACCCGACACCACGCCCAGCTAATTTTTTGTATTTTTAGTAGAGACGGGGTTTCACTATGTTGATCAGGCTGGTCGCAGCACAGAGAAGGTAAGTTTCTTGCCCTAAATCAGAACCCAAAGGAGTGGTCGAGCTGAGAGCTGAGCCAAGGCAGTCTGGCTGCAGGGTTTTCCTGCTCCACCACGTGGCTTGCCCTGCTGTGGCTGTCATCCAGGCAGAGACATGACAGGGTCTTTGCAAAGGGCATCAGAGAGGCAGGGGCCATGCTTCCTGTCCCTGACTGAGTGCCCAGGGGCTGAACTAGAGGCTGGCAGGGAATGACTACATGTGAGCACATGAATAAAGAAGAGGCAAGGCCCAAGCGCCCATTATAAGCCTCTGCATCACTGAGATTCTTAACAGTCTTTTCTTTTTCCTTTTCTTAGACACAGGATGTCAATCTGTCACCCAGGCTAGAATTCACTGCAGCCTCAAACGCCAAGGCTCAAGTGATCCTCCCACTCAGCCTCCCAAGTAGCTGGGATACATGTTTAGTCCTAGCCGATTTTTTAGAAAAAAAATTTTTAGAGTCGGGGTCTTGCTCAGGCTGGTCTCAAATTCCTGGCCTCTAGCGATCCTCCTGCCTCTGCCTCCCAAAGCGTTGAGGTTACAGGAGTGAGCCACTGTGGCTGGCCTAACTTCCTTTTCTTGAAGCAACATGACCAGTAGCTATCTGGCTGCTTGTCTCAGTGGCTGCACCCGCTGTCGACCCAGCTCACCAAGTGCTGGGGGCATTGACTGAGAAATGAGGCACTAGGCCGGCCTGCAGGCTGATGAGCCAGCCTCCGCAGACATGCACAGACAGACCCTGTCTGCCGCAGCATCCCAGAAACCCTGAACAAGGCCCCCTGCCTCATCACCCTCCGTCCACCACCATCCCTTCCTGTCCCCTGCTGAGTGCAGCAACTAAAGCCCCTGCTGAAGCTCGTGTTAGGATTCAGAGCAAGAAGCCCCTGCTGGAAGGCTGCTGGCAGCCAAAGTGAGCTGGGAAGGCGTCGCTTTGGAGCACACAGGGGGCCTGCCAAGAATTTCCTGAAGGGCTGGTGCTGAGAGAAGCAAAACAGATGCTTACTGGGGACAAGTTGCACTTCACAAACAGCTAGCACCATCCCGGTCCTGGGGACACAGGGAGAGGCACTCATTGGCATTGGAACTGGAGGTGCTCAAATTGTCCTTTCGTTAAATCCTCAGTCACTGTCCTGCCTGTCACATGACTCCAGCAAAAGCTCAGCTCTCTCTGGCTTGCTGCTCTCCTGTGTTCTTTCTTGCAAGAAGTGCTGGGGTGGCCTAATGCACCAGGCATTGACCTCCTGATCATCTGCTCTGTGACCCAAGCTTTTGCACACCACCTCGTCCCCCTGCCGCCTGGCATTTAGCTCTCCTAATGAGCAAGGGCATGAAGGAGGTGTAATCAGCCCCATACAGCAGGGCAACAGGTAGGGAAGATGAGAAAGTGAAGTAACTTGGCTCAGCAAATATTCAGTAGAGTCAGGATTTCAAACCCAGATGTTCTGACTCCAAGGCCGGTGCTCTGCCTCCCTCATGCCTTTCTTTTTTTTTCACATTATAACAAGATTATAGTTTATAGTTTGCTAATTTTTTACAAACTGAATATCCCCATTTAACCAACACTTGGATCAAGAAATAAGTACATCACTGCATATGATGTATACATGTGCATCATATATGTATATGTATGTATATGTATGTGATATGTCTACGTATATGATGTAGATGGTCTCCAATATACGATAGTTTGACGTACTGATTATTTTATTTTATGATGGTGAGAAAGTGATACATGGTCAGTAGAAACTGGACTTCAAGAAGGCCTGGCACAATGGTTCACACCTGTAATCCCAGCACTTTGGGAGGCCAAGGTGGATGGATCACTTGAGGTCAGGAGTTCAAGACCAGCCTGGTCAACATGGTGAAGCCCCATCTCTACTAAAAATACAAAAGATTAGCCACGTGTGGTGGTGTGCACCTGTAATCCAAGCTACTCGGGAGGCTGAGGCAAGAGGATCGCTTGAACCCAGGAAGCAGAGGTAGCAGTGAGCCAAGATCGCACAACTGCACTCCATCCTGGGCGACAAAGCGAGACTCCATCTCAAAAACAAAAAAAAAAAGAAAAAAGAAACTGGACTTAAAATACCTATGCAACCATTCTGTTTTTCAGTTTCAGTACAGTATTCAACTACACCTCATGCCTATCTTTCTCATGATACCATTCTGGCCGAAGACCTTACCAAAGGTCAGGCTTCAGGCCAACGGACAAGGAGAAGGACCGCTGCAGAGAAAGGCCCCTGCAAGGAGAAAAGTGAAACAGAGGGCTTGGTGTTGGTAAGCCACGAGTACCCCAGCAGGTCAGAGCTTCCTTCTTGAGGAAAACAGCATGGAGGAGTCATGGAGGAGTAATGGAGGAGGCTAAGAGGTGACTTTTTCATCCTCAACCAGTCACCTGGACTAGTGATCAGAAGCCTGCAAAGCATGGCCAAGCAGAAGGTCTACTGAAAAGCCAGGAGCTTATCACCTCAGTCCTGGGGGCATTTACTGCATGGGCCATTCACCTATTTCTTTGAAGGAAGTTCTGTATCTTCAAGCAACAGAGGCACTAGGAGAGAAGACAGACCTAGATTTTATATCTGAGCTCATGAAGCAGAGTATAGGTATACAAAAATACAAGAGGCAAGTTTCAGAATCTGCTAAAATACATATCCCCAAATCTAACCCTTTTATATTCTTAGATACTCCTGGGCGAGATGCCACCAAGCAGCTTCCACCAGACCTATAGATCTTCCCTGTCATGTCAGTCTGACCCTGGGACCACATTTGGCTCCTGGGATGCTGTCCAAGGTCACCTGCTGGGGACATTGATGGACCAGGCAGGAAGCAGTGTGGCATACAGCAGCAGTGGTGGGAGCTCTTAAGCCAAGGTTCCCTGCGTCTGTTTCTGTGCCCAGCATATTGCAGCCACACAGCAGTGTGAACCTGGCCAAGTGTCTTTGTCTCATGCCTTGCTCCATTCTCCATCTCAAAGATTCCTCTGGGCACTGACATTCAGTGATTCTTATCACACAAGGCCCTGGCCAACCCTGAATCTCCAGAGAGATGTCCAGGGAGGAGACTCTGTAGGCTGAACCCACGGCATCAGCCTGCCAGAGATTGAGGCAGGCTGGTCCAGGGGCTGGCCAGGGTGACACCCATCTTGTCCAGCTGGCCACTTGAGCTGAGACACAGACTCCCCAGGGCCTGAAGGAACCAAGCAGCATGGTCTTGATTTTTTAAATTTATAAAATAGGATTTTATTTCTTTGTTTTATCGTAAAACCATATTAACTGTGTGGAGATGAGAGAGCCTATGTCAAGCCCCAACAATTATGTGTCCCCACCTTTCCTGTCCTTTCTGGTTACCCACTTTTCCACATGATGAGTGGAATGGCTGTTGTAAGGAGTTTGGGATGGGGAAGCCTTCTTGAAGATCTACCCCTGGCTGGTTTTGGACCACGGACAGGTCATCAGATTCTCACAACCCATGAAAAGGCCAAGCCAGGGTTATCAGATCCACAGATTAGTCAGAGTTCCTTTGGCTGCTACAAAAACTCAAGTTCACCAGCTCTCTCAAAAAAGAGGGGAGGTCCAGGTACAGTGGGATTCAGGCACCCAAGCACCCTAGGATGCTTTATCTAACCTCCATCTCTTTCTCTGACAGCTGACTTTATTCTTCCAGTTTCAGCTTTTCAGGAGGTTGAAATACTAGTCACAGGCATCTCTGGCTTATATCTAAACAGCTTTGTATGAAAAAGGATAACAAGCTCTTTTGGGCCAGCTCAAGTGGCAAAAAGTCCCAGGGAAAGGATCTGATTGGCCTGGCTTGGGGTCCATGGCCCCCATGGTCACTAGGAGGAGCAGATGGTCAGGACAGGAGAACGCAAGGTTAAGGGCTGGAGCAAAGACAGTAGCCACCACACCCAAGTTGGCAAAGCAGACTGGCTAAGGCCTAAAGAGGGTAAAGAGTGAGGAAAGACTCTGAAAAGTGGCAAATGTCACTGGGGCACTAGTGGACTATGCCAGCAGGTGCCATGGTTGGCATGGAGGAGGCTGCGGTCTCCTGGGTGCTGGGCCAGTCTGTCAGAGGCATACGAATCAGCCCCTCTCTCAAGTGTTCCCAAAACTGTGTTCCCAAAGTGGTGACCAGAATGAGGACAACTTTTATTTTCCCAATTTCATCATCTACAAGTTCCCCAGAGTCTGAATAGAGCAGCCCAGGGAAGAGGCTGCCACAGTCCTGCCCCAGTCCTGTCTGCAAGTGAGCAAAGGAAAGATTTCTGAGCAGAAAGTGTCATGGGCCAGATCACGCTGGTGGAGAGGTTGTGGTGGGTACAGAGGTGTGGCACAGCGAGGGCTCACAGGCTGGCTTCTCAGGATTCCTGAGCACCCTCTGCTGCTGGCTCCAGGGCAGGTGCAGCTAGAGCAAGGGTCTGCACCTCTGTGCTAGTGTGTCCTGATCAGAGAGAAGTAGAACCACCAGGAGGCTGCTCACTTCTTGTTTCTCCTACCAACTAACCAACATTCAGACACATTCCTCTCTCTACCTCTTGTTAATTCTCCTTGCCCAAAGGGCATTGGCTTTCAACTTGCCAGAAGCAGTGGGGTGCAGTGGAAAGACCACGAGTCCAGAACCAGGAACCATGTTTCTATTCTGCCTCCAATTTGCTGGGTGACCTAAAGCAGAAGTCATTCCCTCTCTGGACCTTGTCCACTTTCTCTGCAAACCAATGGAGGTGGACCAGTCAGTGTCTGAGGGCTTCCCAACTTTTTCTGGGAGGACACGATGTAGTTGGGCCTGGCATTGCTATGTTTAACCTGTCTCCATCTCCTTTCTCTACCACTTATCAACTCTGCCACACTTACTTCCAGCATTTCCAGCATTAGCTCCTTGCAAGCTTAGCCGCCCTACAGACCAGCCACAGGCTATCACATTAGCTTGGCAATGATGAAAGGGAGAGATATATCATAGTAACACTCTACCCTGTCACCCTGCCAAACCTCAGGGCAGGAAGCATCTGAGCTTAGAGAAGCTATAGACCAGCTCAGCTAACAGAAGGCCTCTCTCCTAGCAAGGGCTCT
Source organism: Homo sapiens (assembly GCF_000001405.40). Taxonomy (NCBI): domain Eukaryota; kingdom Metazoa; phylum Chordata; class Mammalia; order Primates; family Hominidae; genus Homo; species Homo sapiens. Next base: position 78,397,903 of record NC_000010.11, on the reverse strand, counting down.
CGTCCAGGGTTTGGTGAATCAAGCAGTCTCCAAAGATATGCATTACAGGGGCAACACACTTGAGGTTGTTCTTGTTCTAAAGCACCCATTGTACAGATGACAACATCAAGCCCCAAAGAAGGGAGATGACTTGCCCAAGGTCATATAACAAGTCAACGTCAGAGCCAAAGCTCAATTCTAGGTTTCCTAAGCCTTGAATCTGGGCTAAACTCTGGGCTAAAACCAAAGCTACCTTCTGGATAGACCATTATACAACCAGAGAGCATGCCAACCCTCCCCCCTTTTCTCTTTTGTCTTGCTCCAGAATGTACTCCATTTGCTTCAATCAGGCTGAGCTTCTTCCCATACCTTTTTTCCTGCTGTTGCTCCTGCCTGGCTCTCCATACCCTGAAGGCTTTGCGCATGCAGATTCTCCCTGCAGAACTCACCTACCTCCTTGACTTTCAAGACACCTTCCCTGACTCCTGCAGCTCTTGGTAATTTCTCCAATGACTTGGCATCACACTCAGGGTAAAAGCCACAGTGCTTACCATGGCCCATCTGACTTCGTGGCCTGGTCCCTGCCTAACTCTTCAGCTCCTCTCCCCATCTCAGCTCCCTTCTACCCTGGCCACGCTGGCTCTCCTACGGTCCCCCATCCCCTGCAGTGTGTTCCCACCCAGGGCCTGGTGCCTACTGTCCTCCCCAGCTCTCCACACAGCTCACCCTGCACTTAATTCTGTCCCTATGTCACCTCCCCAGAAAGGCCTTCCCCACCATCCCATTGAATCTGACATTGTACCCCTGAACTTTGTATCCTAAGGCTAATTCATTTTCTTTCAAAGGACTTGTGATTGCCTGAAATTATATTAAGTATTTGGTTAGCGGTTAGTTTGTTGTCTGTCTTCCCCATGAGAACACAAGCTCCACAGGGGTAGAAACTTTGCCGCACCCACTGCAGTGCCTCTCACTCCTAAAAGAATGTCTGGCCCACAGGGGGCCCTCGACAAATAAATCAATAAACAAACTGTTGTAATAAAATGACGTCTCAGAATTCAAAGATGCTAGGATGCTCCTAGTGTGCATAAGGCAGATCTTATTTTGAAGTTTTTGTCTATCTAAACAAGTCATTAAAAATCAGTGTATCAGCACCATTCATGAGCAATCACATGCTATGCCACAAAAGTGATATCATATAGTGAACAATCTGAAAATGAAACTAAGAAAACAATTTCACTTACAATAGTGTCAAAAGAAATACTTTGGAATACATTTAACAAAAGAAGTGCAAGATTTATATTCTAAAAACTACAAAACATTGTTGAAGGCAATTAAAGATCTAAATACATGGAAAAATATAATATGTTCATGGATGAGAAGACTTAATACTGTTAAGATGCAAATGCTCTCCAAATTGATCTACAGATTCAATGCAATTCCAATCAAAAGCTCAGCTGGCTTCTTTGCAGAAATGGACAAGCTGATCCTAAAATTCACGTAGAAATTCAAGGAACCTGGAATAGAAAAAAATATGTATTGAAAAAGAACAAAGTTGGAGGACTCACACTTCCTGATTTTTAAACTTACTTCCAAGTTACAGTAATAAAGACAGTGTGGTACCAGCATAGGATAAACATGTAGGCTAATTTAACTGGCTTGAGAATCCAGAAATTAATCCTCACATCTAAAGTCAATTCATCTTCAGCAAGGATGTCAAAACAATTCAATGGAGAAATAATAATTTTTTCAACAAAATGGTGCTGGGACAACATGCAGAAGGATGAAATTGGATCCCTACATCAAACCATATGGAAAAAATTAACTAAAAGTGAATCAAAACTCCAAACAGAAGAGCTAAAACTATTGACCTCTTAGAAGAAAACATGAGGGCAAATTGTTATGATCTTGGATTGGACAATGGTTTCTCAGATGTGTCCCCAAATGAACAAGCAACAAAAGTAAACATAGAAAAATTGGATTTCATAAAATTTTTAAACTTTTGTCCTTTAAAGGACACCATGAAGACTGTGAAAAAACAATTCACAAAATAGGAGGAAATTTTTGCTAACTCTATGTCTGATAAAGGACTTGTATATAGCATATATAAAGAAGTTTTATGACTCAGTAATAAAATGACAACCCAATTAAAAGTGGGCAAAGGATCTGAATAGATATTTCTTCAAAAAAGACTTATAAATTGCCAACAAGCACATAAGCACATGACAAGATGCTCAATATCATTATTGAGGGAAATACAAATCAAAACCACAGTGAGATACCACTTTACACCAACTAGGATGACTAGAATCAAAAAGTCAGATAATAGTAAGGGTAGGACAGCATGCAGAAAAATTAGAACCCTAAATACACTGCTTTTAGGAATGGAAAATAGTACCGCCACTTTGGAAGAGTCTGACTGTTCTTCAAATGATTAAACATAGAAGTAACACATGACCCAGCAATTCCACTCCTATTGGGTTGGTGCAAAAGTAATTGTCGCTTTTGGCATCAAAAGTAATGGCAAAAACCGCAATAACTTTTGCACCAGTCTGATATATACTCAAGACATGAAAATCTATGTCCTTACAAAAACTTGTATATATGTTTATAGCAACATCATTCATAATAACCAAAAGTTGGAAACAACCTGAAGGTCTATCATGGACAAATGGATAAACAGAATGTGATATGTCCCTACAATTGCATATTATTCAGCCATAAAAAGGAATGAAGTACTGATTCGTGCTACCTCATGGGTGAACCTTGAAAACATTATGTTAAGTGAAAGAATTCAGTCACAAAAGACCACATATTATATTATTCCATTCATATGAAATGTCCAGAATATGAAACTCTGTAGAGACAGAATATAGAGTAGTGGTTGCTTAGGGCTAGGAGAGATAGGGGAGATAAGGGGGTGATGGCTAAATGATACAGGATTTCTTTTCAGGCAATAAAAATGTTCTGAAATTGATTGTGGTGATGGGCGCACAACTCTGAATACACTAAAAACCATTGAACTGTCACTTAAAATGGGTGAATTATATGGTGTGTGATCTATATCTTAATAGTACTGTTATTTAAAAGAAAAGGGAAGAAATACCATGCCAGGTAACATAGGTAATCTACTCAATACTTTGCCCTTCTAGAATTGAACCAGGAACAACCCCATAGACACAAATCCCACAGCCTACCCGATTTGCAGGGTTGGGAGAGACCCAGCCAAGTGAAAAAATGAGGACCGTGATTAGCTATACATTTTCTGAAAACTTGGAGAAAGGCCCTGTAAAGCATGGGGCCTGGGCAGAAGCTGGGCTTGTCCAGGTCTAAGAACAGGAACATCTAGAGAGTTCACCTAGACCTAGATGGAAAATCTCATGTGGCAAGTCTGATCAATTGCAGGGCCCACGTGTAGCCCATGTCAAGAAGCACTCTGAATGAGACAATGTCCAAACTCCACCAGAAAGTGTCTGTTCCATCGATAATGTCTGCTAGAGATAGGGAGTGCTGGTATCTGAGCCGCACATTTGACAGGTGTGTGTCAGTTCACCCTCTCCTGGCAGAGGAAAAACTAAGTCACTGGGAGTAGCACAGTGGCCAGGGCCCTAGAGCTCAGGGTAGATGAAGTCCAGTCTTGGCCTGGGCTCTGGTCTCAGCTCTCTGGACGTGTTTACCAATCCAGCCTCACATCTCATCACACCCCTACTCTTGCCAATGCTGTCGCTGTGTGCATTACAGCCTGGACAGCATAGAGCTGGGGCCTGAACCCAGGCAGGCAGTCTGGTTCAAAAATCTGTTCTCTTAACCACCACACTGTCTCTCAAGACAATGCTGAGGCTCTGACTATCTAATCTGTGTCAGACTCTTCTACAAACCTTTCCTTATTCAAGCCCAGAAGTACCCTGGGAGAGAAATATTGTTATCCCCATTTTAGAGATAACAACACTGAGTTCCAAGTATGTCGCCCAGATCACACTATGGCAGAACCAAAGATTCTAAATCAAATCTGTCCAACCTCAATGCCCATGTCATCCCACAGTCCCAAGAAAAGAGCAACTTTTCCTTCTCTCTCTTTAGTCCAGCACACAGACATACAGACACACCCACACAAACACACGCACACACGCACGCACACACACACACATACACAATCTGAAGGAAAGAAAACTTGAAATGCAAACCCTGAAGTCCCTAAAGTTCACCATTATCCTTGATCCTTGCACATTCTTCATCCTCAGTGAGTTCCTTATTCTGTATCTACCATCGGCTATTGCCAGATTCCTTGTCTTTCCTTCACAGCTGACAATCCAGAAAAAAAATCACTTATGCCATTGTCTCTGCTTCTTCACTGCCCTCTCATTCCTCAGCCCAGTGCAACTTGGCTCTGTCCCTGCCTCTCTGCTGAGCCCCAATGCAAACCCAACTCTTTCCATCCTGGACCTTTCCATCCAAGACTTCTCCATGACAGGCAACCTGCCAACCCATTCTCCTTGAAACTCACTCTTTCCTTGATTCCTTTAGCAAATACTTTGTGTGCTCCATGTCACATCTTTTTGGTCCTGCTGACATCAGCACAGCTGAGAAAGACAGCTATATACCTGCTGCCAACATTTCACTTCAAGTGTGCTGATATGACTCTCTCCCTTTCTGCCTCAGGGTGACCCCTTGGCTCAAACACAAGCATGGCCAAAACATGGAAGAGTTAACACCCCCAGGGGCAACTCCCAACCAATGGAAGATGGGAGCCAGTGAGTCAACTTCCCATCCTTGGGAGGGAGAGTTCCAAGGCATCTTCTCCACAGTTCCTTAGAGGGTCCTACTGGGCTTGTGATCAGTTGCCCACAGTAATTATGCAGTCTTTATTCCCCTGTTCTCACTCTCTCTCTCTCTCCCTGCTCCCTCACTCCAGCTTTCACGATCACCTGACAAATAAGCTGCCTGCACCTGTCTTTGTGCAGGCTCTAGGCTCTACTCTGGGGTACCTATCATTGTCTCATTGTCTTCCTTCACCTTCTGACCTATTCATTGCCATCTCTTTATGGACTGCTCCTTTAAGGGTGAACCCCTTCTCTGTTGCTGCTTCCTGGCTCCTCTGCTAAGCCCTGCCCTGTGCCCTTCCTCTCACTTGCTTGGGTCACATAAGTCCCTGCCACATGGCCTTGCCCGTCCATGAGGGACTTCCTGCCCACAGCACCATGGCCTCTGTCCCTTAATCATCAGGTGAGCACCTCCCCACCTTGCAACAAGCAAACCACGCATCACCCCTCTACTGAGCCTTTCCCAATGCTTCCCTAGGACCAACCGCCCCCACCTGAGCAGCTGCAACTTGCTGAGGGGGATTCCATACTGTGTCCAGTGACAGCCCTTCCAATAGGCTCTTTGCTTCCTTTTACTGTAATGTAATCTCCCTGAGAGAAAAGGCTGTGGAATTTTTACTTCATATCCCCAGAAGCCAGCCCTATCCTGGCGCATGATCCATGCTCAATAAATGTTTGTGGATAAAGGAAAAAGCATTCACGCTACTTTTATCAGACTCTGAGCAAACTTCTCTGATCCTCCCTCCTCACAAGTCCCTCCTCCAGTAAGATTTGGGTCCTTAAGTACATGTTTCCCCTGCATAGGGTTGGCACATCCATTAGTTTCAGCAGGGAGATGGGAACTCAGCCACCTCTTGCAAGCACAGTCATTCCTGGGTATCCACTAAGGATTGGTTCCAGGACCCATCATGGATACCAAAATCCAGGGATGCTCAAGTCCCTGGTTTAAAATGGGATAGTATTTGCATATAACCTATGCACATCCTTCCTTATACTTTGTCATCTCTAATTACTTATACTATAATAGCTAATACAATGTCTGCACATCACTTCATTCGTGTGGATTCAGCGTAGGACTCAGAGCACAGCAAATTCAAGTTTTGCTTTTGGAACTTTGTGGATTTTTTTTTTCCTGAGTATTTTGGATCCACAGTTCATTAAGTCCATAGATGCAGACCCCGTGGATACAAAGGGGCAATGCTACTTCAATCCCAATGTTGTGAGGCTTTAAACTTGTAAACACCCCCAGGTCTCTTTAAAGAGCAGGAAGCAGGCATGGAGCCGACAATATCTGCCTTCGATTCCTCTCCTGGGTCAGAACCTGAGAAGTGGGCTTCCCACATATGCACCTTCTTGTGAGATTTTCCTGACAAGGCAACAGGAAAAGGGAAAGACCAACAGGCCCACCTGATGGCATCTGTGGCTTGTGATGCCGGGAAGGACCCAGAAATGGCCACAGGTGAGCGAGAGTGAAACGGACGTCCATCCAGGTCAAGCAGGAAAAATGCCAACTCAGAGAGCATTGCCCACCACCTCCTGCAGGCCAGGCCTATGCTAGATGCCAGGAGAACAAAAGGAGATCCCTGTCCTCAAGTGGAACTTAGTCTAGTGGGAAAACACACCTAACCTCAGCCCCTGACTTCACCAAAGTTCCAATCGAGAATCATAATAGTAAGTAAGAAGATTGGCTAACATTTTATGGAGGGCTTACTCAATATGCCAGTGTTTTCTGAACATTTTGAAAACATTCAATTATTTGCCCCCTGTAATAACCCTGGGGTGGCATGCTGGAGCCAGCTTGTACCGGCTCACAAGAGCCAATTGTTAAATTTTCAAGAATTTTACAAGCTGGGTGATAAATATGACTATTATTTTAAAATTAAATTACATAAGTTAAAAATAAATTATACTAAAAACAAAAGTAAGAAATCCTCAAAACTCATCACTTCCGAATTATCTCACTGCACTTTATTGTTCTCTATGCTGCCAGGGCCGTGTGCTTCTGTTGTATTTCTGCAGTGGAAATGCCATATCATGGTGGCTACTAAGCCTACTAAGCCTCTCTTCCAATTCCATGTTTAGTGACGTCACTATGAAAATTGACAAAGGCTTGACTTATTTTTTATTGATTTTTCTAGACTTAAAAAAGTGATGGAGAAAATATTAATTTTCCAAATGAAACTTAAAAGTGTGCCTGTGTCGGTCTATAGCTGTTAGTTTGTGAGTAGCCCCCCCGACAAAATATTTTTTTCTGTATTCAAAATCTATTATCCAATTCAGCAAAGTCACTCATGCTTTTGACAAGTGAGTGTCAAGTCTGTACCTACATCTTCATTGTTTCACGTTCACCTCAATCATTGAGGTACAGAAAAATACCAATCAATTTTCAGGTTGGAACTATACTCCAAGACCAGTTGCTAAACACTGACTGGCCTCGGAAGTAAGTGCTATCTGTAAGCCCCATTTTGCAAAGGAGAAACTGGTTAGGAACGGCCAGACCAGGATTCCTACCAGGGAGCCCAGCACCACACCCAAAGTTCTTAACACATGCAGGGGAATAGGAGACCCTGGTCACCCCCAGTTCTCCCTGGCAGTCCTGGGAAAGCCCTCAGGGAGACCTGGCTTCTGGTACATTCTGTCAGATTCCCTCACCCCAGATAAGAGGAGAATAGCCCTGACCCTGAGAGAGGAGTACAGGACAGACATGGGGATGGGATGGGCAGCACTGAGCCTGGGCTGAGATGGTGCTTCCCAGAACAAAGCCACGGGCCTGGATTTGGGAAGGCAGGTTAGATCCAGAGGATGCAAAGCAGAAGGTGGGACGTGGGGCCGCCTGAAACTCCCAGGGCAGAGGCCAACTCAATGGGTCACTCTTACAGGGACTGCAGCCTCAGGCAAAAGCCAGGAAGTCCCTGTGATGCCGCCCAGGCTTGGAAACTTGCCCACCTCTTTCCAGACAGGTCATTTCAGGTTCCCGGGTGCACCCTCACCAAGGAGCACCTTCCAAGGAGGCCTAAGGGCAGGCGAAGATCAAGAGATTCAGTGGCATTTCATGAGTAAGAAGAGTTGGCCTGGATGGCTCCTTCTCATGGTGACAATGGAGCCAAACCCCATTGTCATCCGAAGTCTTTTCCTCTGGCTTGGGTCCCTTTCCAGGCTCTTCTTCAAGTAGTGGACATTCCAGCCACACAAAACTTCCCACTGTCCCCCAGATAAACAGGGCCCTCTCCTACCTCTGACTCTGTGCCGGGGTTGACTTCTCTGGTGGGGGAAGTTAGGGAAGGCTTCATGGAAGAGGTGATGTCTATGTCTGATATGCCCAAATGAGCGAAGGTGTAGAGGAAAGGTATTGAAAATAGTCTGTAGTTCCCTGTTCCATGTGCACAGCCTTTGTTACATAAACAGCCCTCCTGTAATATTATAAGTTCTGTAACAGAGGACACACCGTCTCTGTGGTGCCCAGTAGGTGCTCCAGTAAAAGTGCAGGCTGCATAGCCTTGGGCAGGTTGCCCGGCTTTGAGACCTGCAGTCATGCTAGCTGTGAGCCACATGCAATTGCTGATACAGAACTATGTTTGACCTACAAAACTAGCAATTTCATATGTTCCAACCTAATAGCCTCTCTGTGACTCTGTAAATGGGGTTAATAGCACTACCACTCTCACAGGATTGTTGGGGAGATTAAATGAATTAACACCTGTGTGAACACCTGGGCTGCTGCCTGGAACACGACAAATAGGTGGTAACAACAGCTATCACTTACACAGCACCTACTATGTTCCAGGCACTGTGCGAATCGTGCTGCCTTGTCAACTCATGGGCTCCTCTAGCCACTCTCTGCAGCTAGTTCTATTCTTAGGCTCACTTCTCAGAGGAGGAAGCTGAGCCACAGAGACATGGAAAACTCACCTAAGTTTGCACAGCAGGTAGGTGGGGAGCCAGGATCTGAAGCCAGCAGTCTGTGCTGTTATGCTATAGTTCAGCCTCTCTGATCGGGTCAAGCTGAGCTATTATGACTCGAGGATGACTCCAGTGAATGTGTAGGTGTTAAGACAACTAGTCTTAACATAGCATTTGAGTTTTTTATGCTTACACAGATGCGGGTGGGCTGGGCAGTCAAGGTCTGGGAGAGGACCAGAGGAAGGCACCAACAGCCTGAAGCACGGGAACAGGGGGGCAGGTAGGAAGGAAGCGGGGGCTATGGAGGCTGCTGCCTCTGGGGGACCTGCAGTCCAGCACTTGGTGGCTAGCTCGGGGCCCCCCCACTGGTGAGGTGGGCAAGGCCAAGAGTTGGAAAGATGAATGGGACCCTGGACGCCCGTGGGCACTTCTGCATCTGTCACCCTGTCTGATGGCCATGACCTTCTGAGAATGATTAATTCTTCTCTGCTTCCACCTTCCAAATCTCCCACAGCTCCACATGTGGCCAGCCCTAACTCAGAACCCCAAAGAGAAGGGGACGTGGGGAAATGTAGACCCAAGCCTTGTCTAAACCTGCAGAACCCAGTCTACTTCAGATGGTAATCCTGGGATGGTACCGCCACAAGAACCCAAGGAGGGAGGGATTGGGCTTGCTCAGCATTTTTCTCATTCCCCTTCTCCTGTCCACGGAAGTCCACTCTCCTAGGGAGATCCCATTTCCCAGCATGGCATTCAAGCCCTGCCCTTGGGCATCTGCCTCTCAGCCCCTTCTCCACTTGGCTCCTATTATCTCCCAAACACAGAAGTCCTGACACTAACCCTTAACATGGCCTGTTCCCTCAGCCAGCAATGCCCTTCCGTGCATCTTCCCCTACTCCAATGTGGACTCTCTTCATTGCTACCCATCCTCCCTGCCTCCTGTCTGGCCTCTGTTTTGTTCTGGTATCCCCCACCTGCTATTCCCCACACAACCCAGTGGCTCAAGGGCAGTTGATTTCATCCTTCCCAGGGGTGGGCCCTATTATTCTAAGTCAATCAACACAGGGAACTCCCATGTGACTTATTTGTCCAGGGGCAGGTTCTTTTCCAAAATTGACCAATCCAATTATAATTTACGCTTGGAAGAGTGATTCCCCTCTCTCCCACTAGACAAGGACTAGGACACACATTGCCCCCAATGTTGCTGACAGCCATTGTTTGACTATAGAATGCAATCAACACCGTGGATGACAGAGTAGAGAGAGAAAGAACCTGAGTCCCAGGTAGCATCTGAGAGCTGCTGAATCAGCCAGCCCTGAAGTCTACCCTACCTCTGTTTGAGATTTTCTTTTCCTATCACTGTAATTCATAACATATCCTGGCAGATACACTCCTACCAGGTATACTCTTGACCAGCTATACTCCTACTCATTCCCTCTGAGCCCAGTGCAAATGCCACCCCTCTGTGAGTCCCTCCCTCAGGTGCCCACCCATAGTGCCCTGAACCTCCATCTATTCCAGCACTTTGGTCCATTCTTCATCCCGATCCCTGAGGTGACATCTCCCCTGTGAGTTGCTGAGCTCTTAAACAGCAAACCATCTCACGGAGGCTAGAGCAAGTGTATCTGTTTAATCTAATTCATTCCACATTCATTCAGCAAACATTTACTGAGTGCCTTTAAGACAGTGAATGCCAAGACAGGATGGGTTTTGCATACACATCTGTGCAGGGAGTAGGGGTGCATTCATGCAGGAGACAGAGAGACAGCAGGGAAGAGCAGGACACCACCAGACGTGGTGTGAGTGGTAGGCAGGACTTGGCTTAGTGCAGGAATGGGATTGACCTCGGGCTTTGGGGCTTTGACCCTCTTTCTATATAACTCTCCTTTCAGGGAGGCAGTGCAGGTGAACAGGGGACAGGGAGGATTGGAAGGCTCTGGAAGGAAGCCAGAATTGCTAGGACATGTCTAAGACAGAGGCTGCATCCTCCTCCACTGCTTTGGAAGAGGAGTGAGCTCAGCGGAGCTGAGCATGCATTAATTTATGCATTCATTCATTCATTCATTCAGCTCACATTATGATTATGAAGTACCTCCTGTGTATCAGGCACCACATTTGGCATTCAGGATTAATCAGTGAACACAGAGTAAATGGGCCTTCTTCTGGCTCAAGGGTCAGACATCCTCTCTGAGATCTGGAGATATTCATGTTCCTCCTTCAAGGTGAAGACATAACATGTTAGAATCTGCTTTGGGGGTCATGGGTCCAACCCCAGGCTAGGTGACATCTGGGTGTCAGGGATGTCCCTTTATATCCTTGAGAGTCTATGATCAGCCTGTACAAATTTGTCCCCTGCAGATGGATCCTGTCTGCACCCCAAATCTCTGAACAGAACCCGCTTCTCCACTTCTCCGTGCTCCCCTGCCCAGTGCCCTTGCAGCTGTGCACAGTGCCATGTATGCAGGACCAGCCCTGTAAATATCTCATGCGCATATGAATGGCAGATGCTTCCACACGGGCTATGTGTCAGTCAGAACTCATGTTGCCAGTGACAGAAATCCAGCTCGAACTAGATGAGGCCAAAAGGGGAATGTATTCACTCACAGAATCCAAAAGGAGGCTCAATGATCCAACTGAGGAAAGGCAGAAAGCAGCTGGGCCTCAGAGAAACAGGAACCAGAATTAGAACAGAACCTCCTCCCTCCATCTCTCATCTCTGATCCTCTCTGCAGGGGCTTCATTCCCTCTCACCTGCAGGCCAGCTCCTCAGCATGGCATGCAACACAGAGGCCGGGTGCTCCTGGCTTTGACACCCTACAGCCTGCATTGTGGGGAGAGTCTGGAGACTCCCTTTCAGCTCCGTCTTGAAAAATTTCAGGCCAAAGATTTGCCTGGGATAGGCCCAGCTTGGATGCAATGCTCAGCCCTGAACCAACTATCCCTGGCCAGATGGGAAAAAGCATTGAAATTGGCTCAACTTTGGTCACATATCCACGTCCAGGACAATCAAGTGAGGCTAGAGAAGTAGGGTCCTCTAAAAACATGGCAGAATCTGCAGGGGTCTAAGCGGGGGAGCAAGAACAGAAACTTCTAGAGGAAGGAGGATGTTTAGGAGAAGGGGGATATCCCAGTTAAAGTGGGCAGGTACTCGTTCATGACATGGTCGTCTATTATAGCCCAGATGATGAATCAGAGAAAAGATTTCTAGGTCACTTGCAAAATTCACCCTCCTTTCAGCATCGCCATCCATTCAGTATCTGATAACTGAATTATCTGGCTATATGAAAAACTGCCCTGAAGCTAGAGTCAAGAAAATTAAGTTTAAAACTGAATTCTGCCACTTACTAGCATAGGCAAGTCACGTGACCTATCTACCTTGACTTTCTCATCTGTTAAATGGGCGCAGTACCTGCTCCTCAAAGGTTTACATGGGCTGTGCAAGTGAACATCACCAGCACCATGTTGGCAGGTGCTTCATCAGAGTTGGTGAAAGACCTTAATCCAAACATCAGCTCCAGGTCAGCCAAGCGGATCACAAAGCTCCTACTGCACAGTTTCGTTCCTCACAGCCATGTGTGTCAGCCCAACAAGGATATCTAGAAAATGTCTGCTCATTTCATCTGGCACACGCTCCTCTAGGTTTCCCTTCTCCTCTATAGGTTTCTCTTCTCCTTGATCCCACCACTAGACTCTGGCAGATGCAGCCAAGTTTTTAGAGGACCCCACTTCTGGGGATGATTGCTTGGTGCATGGGAATGGAAGGTAAGCATGATCTGGCTTCTCCTACACAATGGGCCAATGCGTGCACCTGGAGAGGTTCTTTTCCCTGCAGTGGCCAGGCTGCTCCAAACAGGAGCACTTCCTCCTGCTCATGTTCTTCTACGCTTGGCCAGAAATGCCCTTCCATGCATCTTCCCCCATGTCAAAATAGTCCCATGTAGCTCTCCTGTCCAGCAACAACAAGGGCTCCCACAGCTACCAACTCTACCTGGATCTCAAGCCCTCTGAAGTCGGGGACAAGACTTGGCCCTCAGCTCTTTCTCCCACAGCTCCTCAACACCTCACTTCCTGACATATACCCTCCTCTCCCCTCCACCTACCCCATCCTGCCCATTCTTCGGGACCTTGATCAGCCCTCTACCTCTCAGGGAAGCTGACCTCTATACACTCTCACTGACTTCTTTTCCCCTCCCCTCTTGCAGCCTTAACTCTGTACACAGAGTGATGCTGGCTATATTCCTTACTGGAGTTTTCATGCATGGTCACCAGGAAACCTGCTCTCCTGAAACTTAAAATCAAGTCGGGAAGATAGTAGGATCTGACCTCAGTATAGCCTCTTTGAGAGGCTAGATAGCATAAATACAGGTTAGCAGGCAAAATTTGGGAAGATAAGAAAATACTGTTTGGAAAACAGGTGCCAGATACAGAGATTTCCCTTTAGGAATGGCAGATAAACGGCACACGTGCTGCTAAAGCCTCCTGTATTACCCATGGCAGACATCACTAATTGATTACAGCACTCTTTCCAGTGAACCTGGACCCAGCCTCAGAAACTACAGCCTAGCACTCCAAGCAGGCATGACCAATCAGTTGGAGTTGGGAAATTAAGTAAAATCCATTTGCCAATTGTGGTATAATACAAAATACATATTTGGTTTTTGAGCTTCAAAAACCCATAGAATTTCTTGAGTGATAGGAGTGTCTTTTGTTATTCATAATGGGCACCTTTTGGTTATACCTAACTTTATGAGGTGATTCAAGGTGGGCCCTTAGATAGTTTCAAGAGAGGGGCTGGCCACACCAGATACACCAAGCATGTGATTAGAGAGCTAGAACTTTCACCACCCCCACCAACCCCTGGGGAGAGAGGGTGCAGCTGGAAATTGAATTCAATCTCATGGCCAATGATTTCATCAATCACGCCTACTAATGAAACCCCAGATAGAAACTCTGAAACAAGATTTGGGTAACTTCCACACTGCTGGAAGAGTGCCATACCCACATTCCACTGGGAGAGAGCATGGAAGCTCTGCAACACTCTGTTTGTAAAATGTATATACATAAAATAGAAGAGAATGCAATATTTTCCTAAGGCTTGAAAATAAAACAGTTGAACTTCAGGGGTATCTGGGGGGTATAATGTGGCTTTGGAGAACATTTCCTGATGCACTGCTCAGGATCATCAAACTTTTTCTGTAAAGGGCAAGATAGTCAGTATCTTAGGCTTCACGGGCCCCTCACCCCCAAGACCTGCCTGGTGAATCTGTTCATTTGTATCATTTATAATAAAACAACAGTCATAAGGATAGCACTTTCCTGAGTTCTGTGAGTCATTCTGGCAAATATTCAAGCCTGGATTGGGGATAGGGGAACCTGGGAATTTGTAGTTGGCCAGACAGAAGTGCATATGAAATGGAGGCTGAGCCCTTAACTTGCGGGGTCTGCCTTAGGAAGTTTGTGTCAGAATTGAATGAATTGTAGGATACCTAGTTAGTGTCATATACTGCTCTCAGATGTGTCTACTAAGAAACCTATAAAAACAAAGTAGGGTACCCACATTGACCTAGAGCAGGGACCAGCAACTACAGCCAAACCCAGCACACCACCTGTTTTTCTAAATAAAGTTTTATTGGAACACAGCCACACCCATTCCTTTACATGTTATCTAAGGCTGTTTCTAATTACAAAAGCAGAGTTGAGTGATTGCAGCAGAGACTGTATGGCCTAAACTATTTACTATCTTGCCTTTTACAGAGAAATTTTGAGGGCCCTGTTCAAGAGCACCAGAAGATTTTATCCAAAGCAGCATTATAACCCCCAAATCCCTTTCAAGCTTCATGTTTTATTTTGAAGCCTCAGGTGAATGTTGCATTCTCTTCTGTTTTATGTGTATACATTTCACATAAAAGCAATGTTTAAACTACTTACCACTTGTTAAGTAACAAGTTCTGTTTGCTTAGTGAGTGGAGTCATTCTTCATTTCCCTAAAAGCTTGCAATTTCAGGATGGGAGATAGAGTACTGGTGTGAGGCTGGGACAGAGGGGTGAAGGTTCTTCCAGAAAAAAAATTTAGGAAAAACAAGGAGATTCAAACTCTAGGTTGAAGCACTGATTCAGATATTCATTCTAAGGCTTGCTTTCACCCTATAAAAATGAACAGTCGCTAAGGGCTTCTCAAGCTCTGCCCATCTTGTCTCCAAGGTGATGGTTTCAGCAAGGCATCTGCTGGCGTGTTCAGTGGGTGGCTGGGATCTTGCCACTTATTTGTTCTCAAGGAAAACCATTTGCAAACTGTGTTCTGTGGGGCCCTAGAGTTCCCACAAACTTTGAAGAACTACTGGGGTAGAATGTGGGATCCAAGTGAGTGGGATTCCAAGTCCATGCCAACCTTAACCATGTTATTCCTGGTAGATGTTTTCTATTGCCCATCTCATTTGTTTAAGAAAAGGCATCTGCTGATAAAATAAGATTTGAACATCACAGGTCTAAATAGTTCACACAACTTGGATGCAATGCTCAGCCCTGAACCAACTATCCCTGGCCAGATGGGAAAAAGCATTGAAATTGGCTCAACTTTGGTCACATATCCACGTCCAGGCCAATCAAGTGAGACTAGAGAAGTAGGGTCCTCTAAAAACATGGCAGAATCTGCAGGGGTCTAAGGGAGGGAGCAAGAACAGAAACTTCTAGAGGAAGGAGGATGTTTAGGAGGAGGGGGATATGCCAGTTAAAGTGGGCAGGTACTCGTTCATGACATAGTCATCTATTATAGTCCAGAAGTTGAATCAGAGAAAAGATTTCTAGGTCACTTGCAAAATTCACCCTCCTTTCAGCATCGCCGTCCATTCAGTATCTGATAACTGAATTATCTGGCTATATGAAAAACTGCCCTGAAGCTACAGCCAAGAAAACTAAGTTTAAAACCGAATTCTGCCACTTACTAGCATAGGCGAGTCACGTGACCTATCTACCTTGACTTTCTCATCTCAAACACAGCAAGCTCAAACACAGACAGATATGGGAACAGACAGGTAACATAAGTGAGTCAGTCAGGCAAGGCATGGGATGATAGGGAGTGGTGGGACCTGTGGCAAACTGTCTTAAAAGAGCAGGTGCCCCCTGAGATCTAGCCATACAGAACTACAAATTTAATGTGTCCAAGTCTTCCAATTTCTCAGTAAATCTGGAAATTTAAGTGGCTATTTCCCAATTATTAAGACATGTGCAGGTCAAACAGATTCATACCTACAAACCAGATGCAGCTGGTAGACAGTCTGCAACTGCTGGCTTGGACATCGCCTTTAAGAAAACCAGCCAGGAAGGGCTGCTATTTCTTGAATTCACTTAGTAGGCCAACATGGAGCATCAGGAAAACCCACAAAAAAGACAAGCATCCTATCCTGGCGCTGGCCCTTACTACCTGTGTGAACCTGGATAAGGCCCTGAACCCTTAGCGGGTACCTGCCCAAATATGGTGATCATAGCAAATCCCAGGCAAATGGCAGGGAGGGAAGAGAGCATACTGTGGGTGATGGCACCCCTGGCCCAAGAGGCACCAGGTGGGCACATATGAAAGGTGTTCTCTGCTGGCGACAGGAGGAGTGCCCAGGGTGAATGGTACATGGGGCATGGGTGGATCCCAATCAGCCCTAGGGATGTGGCCGGCCTAGAAAGCTCGAGCCCCCACTACTAAGGGAGATGAAAAATGACCACCTTCCATCTCCGCTTTTCTGTGCACAGATGAGGAGCGAGAGAGGAGCGGGCACCCGGGCCCGTGGCTGTCGAGCGGGATCATTAATAAGATAGATGTTCCTAATGGCTCCAAGAAGGATCATGGAGCTACTCATTATCAGGGGTTGCAATCGCTAATTATTCGTTTCTCTGCAGCTGTCACTCGCCGCGCCCACCCAAAACACCGGTCCCAGCAGCGGTCCTTACTCTCATGGCCAACAGGGGGCCGCGAGCACGCATGGCTGGGCCTCGGGGCTGAGGGCAAAGTCTCCATCCTGCATTAAATACTTATTAAAGTTGATTAGAACTCAATGCACCATAAAATCTCTTTCAAGTCAGTGAAACGCCTTTGGCTACAGATTTTTTTTTTTCCCCAATTCTATCCAAAAGGAACTCCCAAGCACTCAGAGAGTACTGGAAAAATTAGATGACGGTTGTGGCGGGGGAGTGTGGCATTCCGGATTGGGAAGGGGGGAGGTGGATTTGGAATATTTATGGGAGAAGATAGCAATGGCTGGAATGAGGGGCATCAGGAATGAAAAAGGGAGTGTGGATTCAGGCAGGTGGGAAGGCTGCCGGATGCACATATTCTTAGGAACGATATTACCCTGGACCTAAAAATATGAGACATGGCTTTCTTTAAAAGCGATCTAGGTCCTATTTACATTTCAGAGCAAACAGCATATTGTTTTCATCAGGGGGAAATAAGCACTCATGTTTACCTTATGTTTCCTTCAAAATATTTGCATTTCAAAGCCTTCTGAGCTTTAAGTTTCAGAGCTGTTCAAAACGTGGCACCTGGGCTTCTCCCAGATGGGCCATGTTTACAGCAGAAATCCATACCACCCAGCCAGGATGACACCCCAAAAAGGGACAAGGGCCCCTTTCAGGGCCATAATGCATCCCCCGAGGGCACAGCAGCTGGGACCAAAGCTGGTGGCCAAATGGGTGATGGGAGAGCCAGACAGCCCAATTCTCAAAGCTTCTCTGTGGGGTTCTGTGAGTCTTCCTCTTGCCATGTTCTTTCATCCTCTCTGTGGATGAAGGAGGAGACAGTGCTGGTCTGCGCAGAGCCTTTGGGGGCCTGTTGGGAGAAGGAGGAAACAGGCAGCACTGGAGCCCACAGGAGATGTTCCAACCAAGGCAACAACCAAGTGGGCAGGGTAGCAATCCCAGTGCCAGAGGGTCGGACTAAACAACCTCAACTCCCTCTTCCTGTCCCCAACGTTTCATTCATTCTTTCAACAAACAGCTATTGAAGGCCCACTCTGTGCCAGGCTTTGGGCTCATGACTGGGGCCACAATGATGAACTAAACCAATCAGAGCTAACCTTTACTGGATGCTTCCTCTCTGCTAGCCACTGTTCTTGGCTGCACATGGCAGCCATCTAGCAAGCTTTTAAAAATCCCAAAGCCCAAGCCACACCCCAGACCAGTTAGATTCCACTGTCTGTATCTGACAGAAGCCTTGCTATTTTTTACTTTCTCCAGTGCCCAGGACCAACCCACTGCACCCCCCTTTCTAGAGGTTCCCTGTGGCCCTTGGTAGAGAGACAGCTGCTGGTCAACTTGACCAAGAGCACCAAATTCCCAGGTAACCAGCCTGAGAAAGTCCAGGGTAAAGTTCAGGAGCCAGGCACCATTAAGTTTTCAAACTCCCCATATGATTTTAGCCTGCAGCCAATTTTGAGAACTGGCATTCTGTGCTTCACATATATGAACCCGCTTACTCCTCAAACAACCTTCTGAGGTAGGTGAGAATGCTTGCCTCTCCCCTTTAAATGATGAAGTGCAGAAACGTTAACTCAGCCACAAGCAGCATAGCTGGGATTTGAACTCAGGCAGTCAGGCTCCAAAGGATGCACTCTTAAGAGCACCTGGTGCCAGCTGCTGTGCTTAGGGAACTCCTGCTCTAGAGAGAGGCCAATGAACAGACACTACACAGAGGGAAAATGTCAAGGCATCACTGACTTTCCAGCCACCAGCCACTCCCAACCCTGGTCTTTGCCTGTCTCACCCAGAAACTAACTGTCCCTGCCTCCCTTGCAGCTATGGTTCTGGCCAAGAAGATGCAGTGGGAAGCATGCTTGGAGCTTTCGGAGAGAGTTTTCCTCCAAGGTTAAAGGACAGGGGTGTGAGAAGGAACATCTTTCATCTTTTCCAACCTATGCTCATCCTTCTACCTGAGATGTTTCCATGTGAGGATGTGATATTTGCAGCTGCAGAGGCCATCCTGTGACCACGAGAAAAAAGGCTGAAAGAACCATAGACACTGATCAGACTGTCGAACCATTCTGGAACAGGCCCCCTCCAGATGTCTTGTTAAAAGAGAGATCTAAAATGTCTTCCTTACTTTCAGGTATTCAATTACTTGCACCTGCATCAATTAGAATTAGATTTGACTGTGATTAATAGAAAGCCCCAAAATAACAGTAGCTTTTGCAAGATAGAGGCTCATTTCTCTTTCATGTATAAGAAGTCTGAAGATAAGCAGCTCAGAGTGACAGGGGCAGCTTTAAAGTCATCAGAGAACCAAGCATCTTTTGTCTCACTGCCCTGCCATTCTTAGCATGTGACTTCCACTCACATGGCTCAAAGAGGGCTGCCCAGGCTCCAGGCATCACATTTGCTTTCCAGATAGCAGGGAGGAGGAGAGGTGGAAGAAATATCCCCCTCTTCTTTTAAGAACACCTCCCAGAAACTCTTCTGTCTATATCCCATTGACTAGAATTTAGCGACATGACCACATCTGGCGGTAAGGGAGGCTGGGAGCTACATTTGTCCTGGGCAGCCATCAACCTAACCAAAAGGGGGGATTCCATAGATAAGAAAGAAGGATATTTGAGAAAATAAACAGTCTCTTTCATACAATTGAGGCCATCCTAATTAATTCAGAAAGATAATGTCTCTGATGAAGAAGGGATAGGAGTTAGCCAGGACAAAAGAAGGGAGAGCAGTGTCCCAGGAGCAACAGTTTGCACACAGGCCTAGGAGTAAGACAAAGTGCCATATATTTGGAGAACTGAAAGAAATCCTGTGACTAGATGACAAAGCAAGGTGGGTGGGCGATGAGGTGGGAAGGCATTAAGAGAGCAAGATTCACAGGGCCCTTACGTAACACCGCCCTAAGGAACTTGGACTCGGAGACCCACTGGAAGGTGTTTGGCAGGAAAGCAACATGGCCAGGGTTGCATAGAAAGCACATTCTGGTAGCAGGGTGGAGGATGCTTTGGGCTGGAAGATGGTAAGATTGGAGGCAGGGAGACCCAGTGGGAAGCTCCTGGAGGCCACTAGAGAGGGAATGTTGGCCTGGGCAGCACAGAGGCAGATCCCATCTCCACTGGGAGACAGGTGAGAGGTGGTGGAGAGCAGTGTTACTCAGAGAGCTTGTCTGCAATGGCATTCAAAGCTTGCACTAGAACCTGAATCGATGCATTGCTGCCTTCATCAAGAGTGTCTTGTGATACAAATTATGGGCATGCGTGTTTGTGTGCATATATAAGCTGAATTAAATATGTGTTTAATGTTGTATTTGCTTTATGCTCTGATGCAACCTCCTTACTCCTTCGTGCACCACTAACAATTTGTGAACCAGCAACACAGACCTGTGAACCACACTTGGAACATCACTAGTCTCAAGGAAAGAAAACTGAATTCCTCGTGTAAAGCTGCTCCTCTGTATCTGACACAGGCCTTGCTATTCCTTACTCTCTCTAGTGCCCTGAACCAACCCACTGCACCCCTCCAGAGGTTCCCTGTTGCCCTTGGCAGAAGGACAACTGCTGATCAACTTGTCTAAGAGCCAAATTCCCAGATAACCAGCCTGTGAAAGGAGGCTGACCTGAGGGTTCCTCACCACCCACAGGGAGCCCCAGGGGCCTACAAAGCCCTCCATAGCCAAGCTTTTCCAGGAACAATGTGATTGCCTTAGGGAAGGCAGAGGGAGAAAATGGTCCTCAAACTCACTCCCTGGAGAGAGGCCAATGTAAACTGTGGGATTAACTCCTGGGGGGAGTCTTAGTTCTGAGGCCATTCTAATAGGAAAGAATGAAGGGGCCTCAGGCAGTTCTCCTGAAAGCAAGAGCTCCCCTCAGCCCAGCGAAAAGGGCTGGAGACCCTCAGGGGTTCCCCAGCCTCGAGGACCAGGCTACATTGAGCACTCCCACCCCACCTGTGCTGAGACTGTTCGATGCTGGGCTGTCCCCTCTCTCCAAGCTCCTTGGAGGCAGTGGCTGTGCAAGTGTTTCCACGTCTCCACACCCTTCTCATGCCACTGTGGCCAATGAGCACCATGGCTCGTATGTGCCGAGCACTCATCAAACAACTTCACATGTATTAACTCATTTAGTGCTGACCCTCAACACATGCATGTTGCATCAATTCATCAAGTAATCTGAATGCATCAGTGCTTGGAGGTGTTGGCCTGGTCACTCAGCAGCTTGGTCCAACATCCCTCCGGCAAAGGCCAACATGCAGGAGTGGGCTCCCAGGATAGGAGCCTTCTGGTTTGAGCTCAGAAGTACAGGCAGCCAGTTCCCTTAGGGGAAGCTCATCCCTGTGTCCACACAGACTTTCCTGGGATATCTCAGTGGCCAATTTATCAGTCACAGAATCTGAGAGAAAGAGAGCTTCAGACTCTCTAGGTAGAACCACAAGGAGAGCTGGGGTCTGGAGATCTGTGGGAGCATGGGGACAGGCTCTCAGACTCTCAGAGCAGGCTCTGCCAGGGGCATCCAGCCCACCTGCTCAGGGGCAGATGGCAGATCTGAGGTCAAGAAGGGAAAGTAGTGGGTCCAGTGTCACACCAAGTGGGTCCAGTGAGGCTGGCTTTATCCCCAACACACTGCCTGACAGGGACAGAGCAGCTGACATGGTTCTGCTGAACACACGAGATATGTGGAGGCCATGACCTTGAAGAGGACAACAGCTCCTCACTTAGGCCCTTTGCAGCGCTGACCAAGGAGTGGGGCTGGGGAGCTTGCAATCCTTCCTCTAAGCATGTCCCCGAGAAGTCAGGCCAGGGTCCTGGAAGCCAGTGGAGGGACATAGGAGAACCAGGCCAGCTAGCTGACCCCACAGCCAGAGCCAAGGCACCCACCCCCAGACCTGGCCTCTGGGCCCCTCCGCTGTAAGGGACAGCCCACTCTGGGCACCTCCACCCTGGCTAGTGGAGCCCTGCCCTCTGCGCAGCCCTCATCTCCAGCTTCATGTTTTATGTAAAGGGAATTGGGGCTCGGGAGGGGTGGGTAGCAAGTAGCAGACCAGAGAGGCAGGAGGGAGGCAGTGAATAAAATTCTTTGTTTAAGGAAGGCGTGAGCCATGCGTCCGCAAGCCCGGGAGAGACATGTCATTTTGCTGGAAATGCGATTTTCCCTAACAAGTACAGAATTCTACATGACATGTTGAAAAGTGTATCTCTTTGAGAAGCTGCTCTGTATCTCAGAGGCATCGTCAGTACAGAACCGTGTAATGTGGCAGTTGCCATGGCAACGCCTCGTTTTCCATAGACAGGAAAATCAGAGTGGCTAAGTCGATTGAAAGGCCCCAAATAATGTCTCAAGACCAGGCTGAGATCTGGCAAAGGCATTCGCAGAGGCTGAGGTGCTATTTGGGGGTCTAGGGGCCACTTTATATGTGCTTCATAGAGAATACCCAAGATAATGTTCAGTGCCTCCTCCTAATTTGGCTGAGTCAATGGGATCTGTCCAATGCCACACAGAAGGGCAGTGACAGGACCAGGGTGACAAAGCTCCCACTTCATGGACAGGCAATGCCTGTGGCTGAGGTGATGTTGGCCCCTGCTCCCGTCCCTCCAGCGCCCCCTTCTATCACTGTTTCTGCTAAAGAAGTAGTTGTCTCGAAGACAGACATTGTGCTTAGCACCAGACAGTAGCAACCGAGTCAGAAGCAAACATGTTCCCCACATCTACCCCCATATGCACCACGCACTCATGCATGCCCATGGATGCATGTGCTTCCAGTGTGAGCACAGGGACAGACTTACCCAGAGTAGGTGCTCCACCCATGGGTGCAGCTCTAGCATTCATACCCACACCTGGGCCCCCCAGGTACAGAGGCTATAGCCCCATCACCCCAGGGCCTGGCACAGTGTCTGGCAAGGGTGGATGTGCACAGATGTGACACCCTGAATTCAACACACACGTGTGCACACTCACAAGCATGCACACACTGCAGCCAAGGCTCTGCCCCAACCTCCTGCCCCCATATATTTCCAGGCATCAGTATGAAGCAGGGTGGCACTCCTCCCTCAGTACAGTGCCCTGTGGTTTGCAAGGGGTGGGGGCAGGACTCTCAGAGGGAATCAGCCGAATTTGGAACCCAGCAGGAATGAAGCGTCCTTCCACTGTGGGTTCCTGAGTCACCAGGGCTGGATCTGTCCTGCTCCCCTTTCCCACCTGAGGGAGCTCAGGTTCGGGTCTCCCTCCCTTGTCTGTTGGCTGTGCACTCTACCGTCCACCTCCCAGGAGGTGACTGGCAGGAACGAGAAAAGCATTCATCCTGCTCCATCATCTCCAAACATAAGTTAGCATGGGGGACTGGGGAGTTACAGTGAGGGGAGAGGCAAAAGCCCCCATCAACTTCCCAGAGGAAAAATTTTATATAACTGTCAGAGATGTAATAGAACTGTCAGAAGTACAGGAAACCAGCTCCACAGATTACAAAAACACATGTCAGGGACCTATTGGTTTAGTGACAGTGTGAAAATCACAATTTTTCTGTCAAGATAGAAAATAGAAACAGAGAAAAACCAGAAGCACCTCACTGACAGTGGCTAATCCAGCTCACCATCTTCAGGGGACACCCCCAGAAGCAGGTCTGAGTGCTCCAGGCTTCCCTGCCCCAGCCCCGGCACTGAACCATACCAGCCTTCACCTCCCAGGAGAGGCACCTCGCCCCTTGTGTCCCTCTGTCTTAGAAAGTAGAGGCATGGCCCTTCCCGCTGCAAGGTCAGCTGCTCCCCATTGCCCCACGGTCGCTAGCTGCCCTCCAATGACAGGTCCCAGAGATCGGGTCTCACGGTGGTAAAAGAGCCAGCCTCAATCCCAGGCCTCCTTGCCTTTCATTTGAGGTCAGGAGAAAGCCAGTGTGCCCCAACCTTCTGACTCTGGGAGTGCAGCAAGAGGCCAAGGGACAGCGGTCTTGAGCAAAACCACAGTGCTGCAAAAGTTGTCCACACATCTCTCAGCTGTGTAGGGGTTCTGTGGCCCACTCTAGAGAGTCATGGCCCAGCACGGTGGCTCACGCCGGTAATCCCAGCACTTTGGAAGGCTGAGGCAGGAGGATTGCTTGAGGCCAGGAGTCCAAGACCAGCCTGGGAAACATAGCAAGACCCCATCTCTAAAAAAAAAAAAAAAAAAAAAGGATAAAAAATTAGCTGGGCATGGTGGGCATGGTGGGCAGGGTGGTGCATACCTGTAGTCCTTCCCACTCAGGAGGCCGAGGCAGGAGGATAGCTTAGTCCAGGAGGTCAAAGCTGCAGTGAGCTATGATGGCACCCCTGCACTCCAGCCTGGGAGACAGAGCAAAGCCCTGTCCCTAAAAAAAATAAATAAATAAAAATAAATTGTAAATAAATTAAAAATGGAGAGTTGCCTTTTCTCTATACAGCTTCACATCCCAGGCCAGCCAGCCTAACAGCATTTTCTGCGGTTTCAACTGGAGTGTGGGTGGAAGTATCCTCCTGCCAACTGTAGCCGAGGTGACAGGTTTTGATTGTCCCTTGGCACATGAACAGTGTCTAGACACCTCAGAAGATTGGGACACACTTTGCTGTTAGACACACCTGGGTTCCTATCCCAGACCCAAAGTTGATGCGCCAAAGATGGTGCATATCTGAGCCCCTCTCTCCTCCGGCGTTCATGGAGACAAGTGCACTTCCCTTTCTCCATTGGGGGGATTTTATGAGATGGCAAATGTGCATTCAGGTTTCCAGGAAGTGTTGCTCCAGCACCTAACCTCTTCCACAGCCATCAACAGGGCCTATCTTCACAAGTCATGTTGCAGTTTAAAAAGTATTTTGCATCTAGAACTTTGCAGGCACTTTGTTCCCTTGTTGTAAAATGGAAAATCACAATTTCACCCTCACACTTTACCCAGAGGCCAGAATGAACCCCCTTCAGTTCCTGAAGCACTTCCTGCTTGTGTTAGTTTGGGTCCTGCAAGAAGCAGACACCCATATGGGATGCAACGTGCGAGGAATTTATTAGGGAAACGTCCGTGTGCGAGAAAATGGAGAGGGGGTGAGGAAAGGCTGGGAGAGCTGCCGCCAGATCCCAGAGCAGGTCTGACCATGAGTGAAGAAAAGATGCTATGCAGTCTCATGAAGGTTTGGCAAGGCCACATCTAGGGGTCAGGGCACGGCCCTTGTCTCCTGGAACACGCCTGCATACTCAGTCGCTGGCTGGGAGCATAGACACAGCAGTGACATCAGAGCACGGCAGCTGGAGCTCTCATGGGGCTGTGCTCCCACAGTGCAGTCTTCAGGGCACCCCTCACAGGCACTGCAGCATCCCCTCTCATGTGCCATGCTCCTGCCGACAATACTCTTCTCCACTCTTTGCCTGAAGAATCCTGGCTTGTCCAGTGAGTCTAGAAGCAGAGGCTCCTTCCTCCAGGAAGCCCTCTCTGATCTCTGCCCCCTTTTCTGCCATGTGCTGCAACTGTGTGGAGACTCCTCCTTTCCGCCACTACACAGTGTGTCCTGCTGTCACTTACCCACTCCCCAACCCCAGCTGGCCTTGGGCCTGGGACTGAGCCAGAGCTCACGAATATGGACCAATGGTAAAGGTGGATAGATGCCCCCAAGGCTGGCAAGGGTGTCTGGATTTGGGAGTGCTGATTCTAGAACCCCGCGCCTGTCCCATTATGAAGCCCCCCAGCTCATATTATTAGTCATGGGAAGGGCCTGGGCACCAACTGGTCAGAATGGCAGTAGACATGAGCAGATGTCCACCCTGTCGCTGCCTCAGCTGACACCCAGGATACTGGGGCCCATGCACCCCTGTGCCAGGAAATAGGTACTCAGGGTCCCTATGGATGCTGGCCCAGAAAAGACAGATCCAGGAAGCAGAGTTCCACATCAATAAGCAGGGAGACAGAGTCACCAAGCATCCACTGCAAAAGGGACATCTGAGCTCATCTACTTGATAGTCCCCGCTGGTGTGCCCCACTCACTGAGCTGTCAATCGCCTTAACCCTCATGATCACCAGAGGGGGCTTTGGGGCACCCAGGGTCTCCTAAGCTGGTCACTCCTTGTCTGTTGATGCTGTAGGCTTTACAAATTTTATCCTACTGTACGCATGCCATGACCTTATAAAAATCCCAGGAGGCACCAATTCTAGTCTGACCCCATTATGCAGATGAGGAAACTGAGGCCCAAGAAGAGAAAGGATACCTATTCAGAAGCACCAGGAATGAGGAAGTCTGGGATCTCACCCCAGAGAGCAGCTGGATCCACCATCCTAGAACATCTCAGCTCTGCTGCTACCCACCTCAGTACCCCGTCAACTCTAGTTCCATCCGGGCCTCCATCCCCAGAGCAGCTTCCCCTCCTCCCACCAACACTGTGGCCTGGAGATCCCACATCCCTCCTGACATTCTCTGCAAAGAGTGAGCTCATCTCTCCAGCAGCACCTCCACCTTCTCTGGTTTCCCATCATGGAAAGACCTCGTCGGGGAAGGCATCATGCCGGAATAGGATGTTCAGCTAATAAATATGTATGTGGGATTTTTATTACTTAATAGTTGTAAGGTTAATCGTCGTGGTGAACGCCTATATTTAATGTGTCAATGGAGCTGCAAAATGCCAAACTGAATAGCTTTAACACACATTAGTTCTACTTGTGAATCTACAAATAGGAACCTTGTCAGAAAAGTATTCAAACCGAGATCAGTATTGATTGTGGTCCTCGGGAAAGGCACTGGACTGTGACAGTTTAAAATGATAAATGTCTAGAGAATTATTTGCCCGTATTGATAAAAAGAAGCAGATATAAAGCTGACAGTCTCAGAGGAGGCAGCACTGGTGAGTGTGGCCAGCACATCCAGCATCGTTAGGGGCTTGGAGCTAATCTCCCCTTTGATGTGGAGAAGATCCCCAAGGGATCTGGCCCTGCCCTGTGCTGGGACTTGTAGTAATTGCAAAGGAGGGGGCTCTCTGGGCATGCTCAGTCTGCTCCTGGATCCCTGCCCTGGCCAACCCACTGTAATTTTGGAAGGGAGCCTTCTGCAGAGACCCAAGCGCTTTTCATTCCATTGCTCACCTCCTGCACAGCAACTTTCTGAGGCTCACCGAGCAAGACTGAAGTCCTCAACCCAGCCTTAGAACTCTCATCCCAAATGGCACTGTCTCCCTTCCAACCTCACCACCCAAAGCTCACCCCCACAGAGTCTCTGCAGCAACAAGACTGGCAGGTTGCAGCTCCTGTGAACTCTTCCCCAAAGGCTTCACTCACACTCCCTGTCCATCATAGCTGCGCAAAGCCAACGTGTTCTTTAGGACAAAATCAACCCCCACATTCTCTTCAGGTCTCTACTCCAATGCCACCTCCTCTAGAAGCTTCCCCTGGCTTCCCTAGCTGGAAGAGCATCCCCTCTCACTCTCAGTCTCCTTACCCTGCAATGATATCTTCTGAGTCTACATCACCACCTGGAAAAAATGTTTATATGTTGGTTAAGGTTTGCCCATCTCCCCTACCCACAATGTAAGTGCTATAGGAAAGACACTCTATTATATTCATCACCATGAGCAGTGTCTGGCACATGGAAGGTGCTAGAGAAGCCTTTGTTGAGTGAATGAATGAATGAATGAATGAGTCCTTCAGGAAGCCTTCCAAAGAACTCCCAGCTCAGTGATTATCCATTCCACCTTTCTCTTCAAACTCACTCAGGACCTTTCCTGTCTCTCACCACTCACATCCCTGTTCAAAAACCACCCATGGCTCCCTGTGGCCTAAGGACCGGGCTTGAACTCCTAAGCCTGACCTGCAAAACCATACCCCATCTGGGGCCACTCCCAGGCTCCACCTCTTCTCCTCTCTTCTGAATCTCAGGCTAGGTTTCTACTTCCCTCCTGATGCACAGGATCTGGCTACGCTCTCTCTGCATACCACCTCAAGACTGAGGCTTCTGTGGACATCCTGCGTGACCCAAGTGTGGCTTCATATCATGGTTGGCTCCCAGTTATACAGCCAAGGACCTGTCCTATCCTGTCCACATCCTGGGGCCTGGGCAGCACTGCAGAATCCAGTCTGTATCTGAGCTCTCCTTCTTTCATGGGGACCTTAGTCACTAGCCTAGGGGCAGGCGCTCATGTTCACATGTGCTTCTACATGGGAACGTAGTATCCGGGATGGTGCCCAGATACTACTTTAAAATCCCAGCTCAGAGGGCCTGTTCTTTCCTGAGTTTTCTGCTCTCCCTTTCCTGTCCGTTCTCTCTGTGCACCCTTGTTTCACAAGATGCCGGCTACACAGGGGAAAGCAGAAGGCACCCATGAGATGTCCTGGCTTTTGTTTCCAGTGGTGTAAATCTGTTAGAAGATGTGGAGGCTTTGTGGAGAAAGAAAGCAGGAGAGCCAGGGTCTTAGCAAGAAGCAGGGGATCTTGGAAGAAACGTAAATGTGGAAGTATTGCTCCCAAACCAAAAGGAGATTTCCCCAAGCTGGAGGGAGGAGAGTAGTGAAAGCTATTCCTCGAGAGAGGGACCCTGCCTTCTCTGCTCCTGCTGAGCAAGAGCCCACAGCAAAGGCTCCTGGGGAGACCTCTGGGGGCCAGGGCTGGGGACAGCCACAGAAAGGAGCCTTGTGCCTTAGTCAGGGCTGGAAGGCAGCAGAGAGCAGGCTGTGCCCTGAAGGGGCCTTACAGGCAGGGAGAGTGAGGGCCCAGGGGCCTGAGGGGTGACACCCAGAGGACCCTCTCTCTGACTCCTGGGATGAGCCATGCCCAGAGAAGGAATCTGAGAGGCAGGAGGACAACCCCAGAGGAGCCGAGGTGATGGGTTTCCACCAGCCCCACAGAATGGATCGTGGAAGCAGCTGTGGGACAAGTGATTTGTGTCACCAGCTGAGTGAGAGGACTAAGATTCATGACCTCAGCAGCAGTACTGCTGCCTACCCTGCCAGTCTACACGCCCTGACAGCAGGTGCTAAGCTTCCTCCTCTCTGTCACTTCATACCTGCCCAGGTTGGTGCCCACATGAATAGGTGGGACTTTGCTACATCCAGAGGGCCGGCTCCCTGCACTTCAGGAGATGTTTCCTGCCCACTTCCCATCAAGGAGGCATTTGTCACAAGTGGATCCCTAGGAAGAACCATGGGATGAAGATATAGAGCATGGAACTGCTCACTGCCCCAGCGAGGGCTTCCAGGAGGGGCAGCAGGCAGGCCCCACACTGCACTCACTTTGGGGCCCCGAGACGAGGCCACGTGGGGAAAAGGAGCTGTCATGGACCTTCTTCCATGAGAACACCAGGGTCATCCCGTCCTGCTCCACGTGCTCTTGTCTGCTACCACAAGCTTCTCCTTCATGCCTCGAGAAAGATCCTGACATTACCTAGAGCAGAGGTACCCTGAAGAGGCCTTGACACATCCCAGAGTCAAACCACTCACTGTACAACTACAGGTGCCAAGGCCAGAAAGGGCAAGCTGCTCATCCAACATCACACAGCCGCTTGGCAGATCTGAGACCACAACCAGGTCTCTTGCCTTCCAGGAAGTTACTCCTTCTAGCACCCCACAGTATCTTGCAAGAGTTTATTTGCGCCTCCATGTAACTGCCAGACCTCCACAGCCACAACAAGGCTCTTCTAGTTAATATACCTGCTGAGGGACGTGTGGGTTCAGCAGGAGTGATGAGAAGTGGACTGAGACTCAGAGACCTGGGTTCTAGGTCCACCTGTGGCACGTCCCATGCCTGGGCCTCCAGGAGTCTGGAAGGCTGTTCTCCTCAAGTAGGAGGGGAGGGCCATGGACTAGGCCAACATGAATGGAGGCAGGGGAGGCATGGATGCACGTTAAGAGAAGACTCCAGAATCCACCCCCCTGTGGTCCTCCAAGAGGCTTGTTTCCAGGCAGCTTGTTTTCAAATGTCTTTCACTTGGGGCCTCTGCTTACAGTCATCCCAAAAGAGATTGCCCTATTAAAATAAATAGGTGACCCGCCAGCCCCAGCCTGGGCAGACTCTGTCAGAGGTTACACTGTGGCTCAGTGGGAAGAACTGCACTTGGGCAAAGGATGCCCCAAGACGGCCTTAGCCTCCGACCCAGCCACTGTCCCAAGGCAAAGTTTTGAGAAGGAACAGAAAACCAGCACTCTTTGCAGGCAATGTGTGTACTCTGAAGCAGGCTGCCAGGTGCTCTGTGAGACCACAGTGGTGCTGCCTGGCAAGACAGCTACCATCATCTTTTCTTTAAATGGCCACATCCAGGGCCCTCAGCCTGGTTTGAAATAGCTGCCCCTTCTGCAGAGCATGCCAGGAGCTGCTGCCAAGGAGAATAGGCTGGGCTGGAGTCGAACAGAGACCAGAGCGACACATCTGGCCAGCATGGCTTGGGTGTGCAGGGAGCACTAGGGTAGTGATGTTTCTGGGGTTCTGGGATGACAAGATTGGCAAACTCACCCAGCCTGCCCTCACACTTCCCCAGGCCTGGGCTGACACACACAGAAAGTCAGACAGAAAAAAGTTTCTTTTATTTCTTCTTCTTCTTCTTTTTTTTCAATGTATACCTTGGTTAAAGCCTCACAGACACCAGCACTGAGCTTCACACAGGGAGCACACCATAAGCGAGACACCAGGTATCAGGAGGCATCTAAAAGGTGACAGAAAAGAGGAGGTGTGGAAAACTCCAGAGTTTAGAAGGGACAGGAGTGGACCCTCCAAACAAGGGGGAATGCTTTCAGCAGTTTCTCTCCCTGCACTGTCAATGACCAGGATAACTTTCGAATATAGGGGCGCAAAATTTCAAAGACCTAAAAGTGAGGAAGGAGGGGAGACTTGGAGCTTGAAGTGCCTGGCAAATGAGGCAGCAGCGGAGACAGTGAGCCTTACAGTCTTGAGAGCCTGAGGCCCCGACCTCAGGGGAAGGCGGGGAGACTGCAGCAGGATCAGAGACAAATTGCAGCGAGTTTTCAAGAGGCTGGGGAACAAGAGGTCAGCAACGGAGAGGCCGCCGTGGCCTCCACTGACAGCTCATGCAGTTGATAGACCCCAGAAGGAGATGACCAGGCTCCATGTGGATAGGAGCCAGGGGGCTGCACACCCTGCTCAGAGCTGACAGCCAAGGGGGGCGGGGGACCCAGAAGAAAACAGCTCTGTTGTTTCAACACAGAGAGGACAGCCACCCACTGCCTGGGGCATTCCCGAAGACTTGGAGCCCCACTGGGCCTGAGGAGGCCGGCTGTGGGCAGTTGGCCCCTGGTCTCTGCTTTGCAAGAGCTGTTCTTGCCCCTCTGTGTCTGACTCCGTGGGGTCCTCACACTCCCTCAAGTCGCACTGCCTGTCTGCACAGACGCCACTATTTTTCTGGAGAGATCAAATTCAGCACAATAAAGCGACACTTGTTAAAGGACGTAGCAAAATCTGGTTTTCCAAGCCTAGTACTTTTATCATACGAACACCAGAGACTCTAAGGGATCTTGGAGCCCAGTGGGGGTCCAGTGCTTCTGGTAGCAGAAAACTGCTCTTCATGTATAACCTTCCTTAGAAAGCTGAATGTAGGACCAATGAAAGAAAAGCCACTGTGGTTGGAGTAAAGGAGGTGGGTCTCACCCCTGCCTACCCCCTTCCCTCTCCCCATCCCTGCCAGTGAGCCCCAGTGTTCCACAAATAAGAGTTTGGAAACTGACGGATTTGTCCAATCCCCACATTTTACAAATAGAAAAATGGGATCACAGAGAGAAAAGGGCGCTTGTTCAAGACCACACAGCACTCCAGAGTTTGGGACCTAGAACACAGTAAGAAAGGAACAGTCCTGGTCATGATTTTTCTAGTTTCAGAAAACCATGGCGCATTCAACGTGTGAACAGAGGTCCCGGGAGTCCCCAAACAGTCTTAGGCAAAGTTCCTTCCCCTTGGAGAAGCTGCACACCCTCCAGTAAAAAGAAATCCTCTTATTGCTGCAGAAACTGCTCTTCTCCTTCCTGGACTGCCTTCTTGGGTCTTTCCCTCCCTTTCTTTTCAACAGTCAGAGCAGACGCAGCCCCAAACAGTTCCCCGACACAGAGCCAGGAGCCCTCACTCCTTGCCTCTAATTACCCTGTGATAGATGTTGGCGTTGCTGCTAAAGGTATCTGCGTTCAGGCTTTATGGTCATTTTCCAACAGCCCAGACCTTTTAAACTCTCTTATGGGAGCAGGTTAAGATGATTATGCAGATGGATGGACCCCGGTGCAATATTATGTCAGCAATGGAGATGTAGGAGGTGCAAATGGGCCATGATTACCACCAAGAGGAGGCTGCTGCAGCCACTGCAAGCCGAAGGGAAGTACACAAGATCTCTGGGCTCCAAGAGCAGCCTCAGACACAACACACACTCACACACGCTCCTCCTCAGCCTCTCTAGTTACTTGTCTGGCTACAGTCAGACTGTTCCCATGGAAACGTGAAAAGTCAACCATGGCTGTTGGGATGCCAGGAAGACACAGGTCTGCTGGAAAGAGAAGCAGCCAGAACCCAGGGAGGTCCTGCTCTCCAGCTGACTTGATGGGGCTGGGGGGAACCAAGTCAGATGCAGAGCTGGACCCCAAAGGACAGCACAAAGAGCAGTCCTGGGGACCAGCAGGCTCCAGTCAATCACTAGACAAGGGTGAGGTTACACACCATGGTGTTAATGCTGTGGTCCTGGGCACCTCCTAGAAATGGGCTATGCATTGGGCTCTGTGCTTCCTAGCAGACAAAGCGGAGAGGAAGACGCAGTCTCATTCAGCCTGGTTTCCACAGATAAAAAGGAACTCTCCATAATCGGCCCTCCTTTTCCTGGTTCTAAAGGTGAGAAAAATGTCTCCCAGCAATTTCCTTAACACTCTTCCTCCTGCAATAGGCACAATAACTAGCTTCTTAGGGGCTGCTTCTCCCAACATCCTGCCTTCAATACAAGCCCAGGGTACCACACCTAAGTGGAGCTAGGTGGCAAGGCAATGCTACCTGGAACAGAACACACGGCAAGGTAGGGGATGGTCTGACTTCAAATGAAGGAAAGGCACAGGCTCTTCTGGGAGATGGATGGGCAGCACAACCTTCTGGTAACCCTCCAGAAACAGAGGGTCTCCTTCAGACTGCAGAGTTTATGGTTGTCATCTTGGAAGGGAACCAGCAGGGCAAACATGCTGTGTTCCAAGCAGTGGGTGTGAGTGATGTATGTGGAGCACCTGGAGAAAACAGGTCCCAAACAGCAAGACTTACAGCAGTAGGAGCGTTGAATACATGGTTGCTCCAGGCTCACCCTGGCCTTGGTCTTTGTAACTAATCTTAAGACCACGTGTGAATGGGGTTGATGTTCCATGCTGAAGGCCCATGTCTGGGCTATCTCCAGGGCTGGGTTGAGCCTGGGCCTGAGAAGAAACAGCCATGGGAAGCCAGGGGACAATGATGTGGGAACCAGGACAGGGAGGCCACTGCCTTTTCCATACAGATCCCTCCCCTGAGTCTGAGTTTAGGAGCTTAAGGAAGCCGAGGACCTACATCTTCTGAAGCCAGAAACTGGAAAGAGACAGAAGTGAATTATTTCTTGTGATAGAAGCAGGGAATCAACGCCAGCTCACATTGTCCCACACCATGATTAGAAGACCTCATTAGCCAGGCATCCAGTGTCAGGCACTGTCCTGAGTAACGTGCATTAATCACACTTCCCTATGCCTCATAATGAGCCTGCAAGGGAGATGTAATTATCCCTAGTTTATAGGTGGGGATACCGAGGCCTAGAGAAGCTGTATGACTTCCCCAGCGGTACCCAAGGTGCAAAGGGGCAGGCCTGGCAGAGGGAGCCTGCATAGGAGTCCAATAGACCAAAAGAATCAGCATCAAATGGCCCAGGCTTTGGGGCCAAGCTCATCTGGACTGGAAGCCCAACGTGGCTACACCTTACTGTGTGACCTCAGCCAAGTGATTTAACTGCTATGAGCTTCAGGTTCTTCATCTGGAAGTTGATGTTAATTATACCCATCCTCAAGAGTCATTGTCAAGACGAGTGATGTGATACAGGAAGTGCCCCTAGACCCACCACTGTGGGTGCCCACTAACTGTGAGAGAGGGTCGCACTCTGGGAAGGTGTTGGCTGCCCTGTCTAGTGTATCCCTCTACCCGCAGGGTCTCTGAAGGCTGGCACAAGATAAATAGGCACTGGTGAAATAGCTGGGGAACAAACATGGGGTTTTTTCTTATTGAAAAGCAACATATGCTCACAGAACACGAGAAATGGAAACATGCATTTTTAAAATGTCACGCCAGAGTCCCACCTCCAAAAAAAATAATCCCTGTTCTGCTTTTTCTTTTAGGTAAATCATTCGAGTCCTGTGAATTCCTCTTTCCCAGCCAAGATTTCTGCCCCTGGTATTTTAGCCAAAGACTTCCCCAGACAAACCAAGCCAGGAATTGTCCTGACGCTCAGGCCCCTCCTATGAAAGCCACTGGAGTGAGGACCCAAAGGGAGCTGCCTCATCCTCCATCCTGCTCGGATCTCTGCTGCCCACCCATCACCTCCACCTGCTCTGCTGCAATCAATATGGGAAGTCCTCCCTTCTCAGAAATGCTGGCTACTCAAGTGCTTGCAGCTTCAGAGCTGCCACCATGTGAAGAAAGTGTCCAACTAGACCCTTCAAAACAGAAGCCTTGGGGTGAAGGGAGGAGTGCCCAACAGCTCACTCTGAGATGTTTCTGGGAAGTGCTCCCTACCATGGCACGGTCTCCAGGACCCTTCATGACCTGCTCCCTGCCTGTCCCTCGCCCCTTCCCATCATGTCATCTCCTCTATGCTCCAATCACACTCAGCATCTTTGCATTCAGCCCCCACTTTCATGTTTCATTCCCTCAGCGTAAAATGTTCTTCTTGTGTCTGAGTGGCAAACTCCTACTCATCCTTCAAGGCCCCACTCAGACACCACCTCTTCCAAGCCAGGAAGCTTCCCCTAAATCCCCAAAGTTGGTGATTTGGCCCTGCCCTGTGTTTCCACATCCCTGGGCTTGCCTCCACTACAGTCCAACCACCCTAGTATCACAGCCTGGTCATTTGGCAGAGCAGGAGCTCCTGGCGGATGCAGGATGGTGGCTGGTAACTGTTGGAGAATTCTGCCACCTCTCAGTGAGTGCAGTGGGAGCTGTCCCATGTCTATGCCCCCCCAGGGTTTAGAGCAGGGCCTGGGACAGAGTCAGGCTCACTGAATGTCCAGGGTAGGAAAGCAGGGAGGACATAATAGGGAGGAGGATCATTGGGTGGGGAGACAACAGGAAGCTGAGTGGGTCCCTCCTGTGGGTCTGGGGTTGGCTACTTGGGCCCCCAATGTGATGAAGAAACACCAACTCCACGCTGAGAAAGCTGTTGACAAGCAGGCCCAGCAGGCTGTCTATGGGATGACCACCAACTGCCCTCTGCTTCATCTCACCCCTGTCCCCATCTAGAAGCACTCAGGATAGGCAAGAGGCAAAACTGCTGAGTCGTATGGCCTAGCGCAAGGGAAGAATTCATGGTGAGAAAAATGCTCTCCTCCCCTAAGCCAAGCAGGAGAAAGGCCTCCAGGAGAATCATGCCTAGAGACAGGGATGCCTCCAGCAAAAGAAGATCAGCACCTCCCCACCCTAGCTGGACGCTAGCTGAATGCGGAAGTGGCAAGTGCGGCCTAGGGGAAGGCATGGCATACGCCCCTGGAATGTGAACACAGGAAGTGGTGCCTTCTTGTCTGGCAGTCTCAGCAGGAAGGAGGCTGCAGCTTGCTGTAGAGGCCTGCACTTGCAAAATGAAAACAGACCAGAGTTTAGAGGGCTGGGAATAGGATGGGGGATCACCGACCTCATTTTTCCTGGCTTTCCCAGGAGAAAGGACCCGCGGAGAGGACCTTGAGTCTCCACATACACAAGCACGGAAGTTAGAGCTAGGCAGGAGGTGTGGGCTGCCCAGGTGGCTGCCACCCAGATGAGGTCCTTCCTGAGGGCACACTCAGGAATGAGAGAGGTGAAGTGAAGCTGGACGCTGCCCCTGAAGAACCCACACTCACCTTCTGCATGGAGACTACCACTAGAGAGGAGCCACCACTGGGACGGGCAGACGCACACCAGGCAGATGCAGCCTTAACCAGCCCAAGCAAAAGCCGGCCACCTCACTGAGAGGAGGCGAGTGAAGCAAGATGGTCTCCACCCTTCCCATCCTGGAAAACCCAAGAAAGGAGGAAGAAGAATGGCCTCAACATGAAAAAGCCGTTTCTCCTTCCCCACTCCAAGGAGACGGGTTTGACACAGCGGTGAGACTGCTGTTTCTTGTCAGACCAGAGAAGGTCCTGATACATGAAAGTGGCCAGAAGTTATGGGACAAAAGGAGTCAACAGAGTGAGGGGGACAAGAGAAAACAAAACCTTGTAATAACTCCATTCCACTGCGTGGGATCTTCACTAAACTAGTTACGGGGGAAGAAAGAGAGGCAGATGAAAGAGGTGTTGCAAGAAAGGAAAAGAAAGAAAGAATGGGGCAGGAAGGGAAGGTAGACTTGGACATCAGAAGTCAACACTCAGAAGCAGGCACTAAAGCCAGAACCCAGGTGTCCACATCCTGCTACGTATTGCTAATCCAAGCTGAGCCTCTCAGCAACTGGGCAAGAGCTCCCCTGAACTCCTGGAAATAGGTCTGCATTCCAGGAAAGGGCCCCCACTCAACCCAAGCTACACATCAGAGTCACCTGGAGAATCTTTAAAAAATATCTACCCTGACCCTGCTCAGACCAACAGAACCCAGCCTGGTCAGAGGGCTGGGAAATGATCAGTTTAAAAACTCCTCAAGGGATTCGAATGTCCACCCGGGATTGAAAACCATAAGAAAAGATGACTCTCAAAGGTTGCTCTTTGGACCAGAAGCAGCAGTAGCACCTGGGAACTTCTAGGAATTCAGATTCTCAGGCCCTGCCCCTCCTCCACTGACTCAGAGACCCTGGAAGTGGGGCCCAGCAATTGGTTTTGACAAGTGCTTCAGGTGATTCTGACATGAGTCAAAGTCTGCAAACCACTGGACTAGAGTCTATCTGAAGAGAGAAGGTGAAGCAGGGGAGGAGGGAGGAAGTGGTGGTGTGGGCTGTGGGGTAAGGAGAACTGTGGGAGCATGGGGCAGTGAGGCCCTTTCCAGGCAAACACCCTAGGTCCCTGACATCCCATCCAGGCCCACGTCCCCACGTCCCCCTCTCTCCAGTTATTCAGCTCCCCAAAGACCCGTGGGGCAAGAAGCCATGAGCAGAAGGCATCCTGCAATGCAGAGGGTCTTACTCCAGCACAAAATGCTGAGCTCCTGTGAACACGGTCTATGGATTCACTCTTGGTTTCCAAGGCACGTCAGGAGTGAGGGGAGCTGCTAGCGCTCCCATTAACCAACCCTGATTAAATCAGCTGGGCTTCTCAAAGGGTAGCACCACACAAATGGAAACTAATCATAATAATTTACTAATTGTCTCCAAGCTGGAGTCACTCTAATCTCCATGGACAAAAGACAGCAATTAAAAGTCTTCCAAATTCTGAGAGCTGAGGCTGTACCCTTCTCCCAGCCAGGAGGGTGCAGGTGGCAGGGAGCTGTTCTGAGGACCAGAGAAGCAAGGCAGAGGAAAGGGTACAGGGATGGATGCCTCCTGGATGGGGAGGTAGGCAATGACGAGAAGGTCCAGGAACTGAGGCAGGGAATGGCTGCCACCCAGGCTTACTGCTGGGAGTCCTACAAAAGCTCAGCTTGCAGCGGTCAAACTCGCTGGCCTTGGCTTTTACGCAGCAACTAGCTTCTGTGCCACCTCCTCCAGGAAGCCTTCCCAGGCAGCTGCGTGAGAAAATGGGCTGAACACACAGGTGTGGAGCTAAACATTGGGAATGTTCTATTCCTATGCACCAATGAGCTTTAACCGTGTTTTACAGTGGAAGAATCTGAGGCTCCAAGAGGTACCATGACTTGGCCAAGGTCACATAGTCACCTTGAGAGACAGCTGGGATTAAAACCCAGGTCTCCAAACACAAGACTCTTCTCTAAGGCAGAGCTAGAGGAGCGTGTGGGAAAGTAGCTGTTCTTTTAAAGCACTTTCTACCCAAGTGTCATCTTTTCAACTATTTTTAAGGTAATAAGTTGACAGGAGAGTTGTTTTGACTATGGTGAGAAGTCATTAAAGAAAGCAGTGTAAAAACAAGCCTGTAAGACACACAGAGCAGGCAGGCAGAGGGGTTGGAACTTTCGACACGCTGGCTCCCGCTGAGCAATGCACAGGACCCAACCCCCGGGACCCGCCCCCAGGCTCCCTCCTGCTCACCTCTAAAGCAGCTTCTCTTCTCCAGAAGCCCCCCCTAATCTCCTATTACCAGTTCCCAGACCCACTTATGTGAGACTTGACAGCTCCCTGTCTAGACTGCAGACTCCTAAAGTCTTAATTGCTCTTTCATCAACAGAGAAGGGCTGCTTCTTCGTCAAGCAGCCAACCACTCAGGAGTCCTTGTTGAGCTCCTACGGGGTACCAGGCTGCGCAGGGATTCAGAGATGCCTGAGGATTTGATGGATCATCTGGGGTCAGAGGAGGACAGTTCAGACACTGCTTGGCCCAGGCCTCGTGCCAGATGTGAGGCTCCCAGCAAAAGTGAGACTCAAGCCTTCTAGATGCTGCACTAGCCCCCCTCCGCCCAGAGGGAGGGTGAGGAGAGAAACTGGCTGCAAACAGCCTCCCCACGTTGCCTTTCAACAACCCATTCTCAAGGTGCAACAGCCTCAGAGTCCTCCAGACTGATGCCTTGGCACCCACTCCCCTCAGCAGGGATTCCTGGGCCCTCACCTATCACTCCACTCCTTTATTGGGCACTAGTATGTGCTGGGCACTGTACTCAGCTCTGGGAGAGTGGACAAGATTCACACAGCCCTTATCCTGGAGTGTAGCCTCTAGTGTGGTAGTTATCTGCTAATTTAAGGGTATGGGTTAATGGGTTACTAATGCTCCATGGGTCCAGCTCCCACTGGCTGCCTGCTTTCTCCCTATCCTATCTTCTAGACTCCTCACCCCCAACTCTGAGCCCACATAGGCAGCCCTCTCTCCCATAGCAGTCGGCTCTGGGCACCAGCGCTGCCTTTTCTCCCGGCCCACCCACTTCAGCCTCCGTGCAATGTGCTTATCACCATCTGGCTTCATGAGCTGTGGCTACAGCTGAGTGATGATGCCACGTCTCCTGAGGAAGACTAGGGCATGGGGTCCTTGGGCACCTTTGGTGCCTGTCCCCAAAGGATGGTTCCTCAGGGCTTAGTGGAACCACAACCACCCCCTCACATCCAGGGCAGAAAACAAGAGTCCTTCTCTGTCATCATTCTGGAAAGGATGGTTTCCTGGGGACAAGGCTCTGGGTTGTCACAAACAGGATTGTCAAACCAAGAGCCATTTACTCATCGCACAATTGTCTAAATGTCTCTGATTTTTTAAAAATCATTGATTGTGCACAACGTGTCAAGCCCATCACAGGCTTCCACCTTGAATCCCCACCACCACCTTCTGCAGGGAAGAAGCTGGGTTCAGGGTGGGAAGGGCCCTGTTCAGTAACCCAACAAGCCCAGAGATGCTGGAATCCAGCCCCAGCCTGGCTCCAGGGGCAAACCACTGCCCATGGGCACCTTGCCTGCAGTCGCTACCTTTACCACTACTCTCTCAGCTTCTCCAGGCAGGGGAAGGCATCAGCCTTGCTGCGGGTGCCCAGGGGATGTACTGTGGATTAAGTACCTGAAGCTGTGCCTCGCTCTCTCTCCCAGCCACCACTGCGGCAGCAACTGCAGTCAAGATGAAATAGAGCCTCAGAAAAACCAGCAGAGCTGAGGCCATAAACCATCTCTCTCTGCCAGGAATTGCCCAGTGCCTCTCATAGGAGGGGGGACGACTGTCTCAGGATATGGCAGCTAGAATAGGAGAGGGGAGAGCGAAGAGGTCCCTCCTTGATCCACACCATACCCTGGGAGGTTGGAAGGGGGAGAGGGGGAAAATGGATGTTCTGCTAGACAGAGGCCAGATGCTGTTCTATGGACTGCAAGCAGGGAAAGGGTGGCAGGTGGGGTGAGCCAGTCCCGTCTGCAGCTTTCTGCATTGAGGGACCTCTGGCATTGGCCATATTTCTGTAGGAGAGCCCCATGGTGGCCTAATAACAGAATAGTGAGGGCTGTACTGTACTGATATGTCCCTCAAATCTGCCTGAGGGGGGAATCATACCTTCCAGAGAGGAGAACAATGGACACCCAGCTGAGGATGTGTGTGAGTGTGTGTGCGTACATGTCGGCATTCTCCCAGACACTGCCAAAGGAAGAGATCAATTTAGAGAATTAGAGGCCAGCCCACTTTGCATGGCTTCTAGGAGGCATGTACGGTAAATAAGGATTCGAGAAAAGAAATGTTGCATCATTCAATTAATTTTAGCCTTGAATCACAGCGACTGGGTGGGGGAGATTGTGGGGAGAGAGTAATCAATACCAAGCATTCAGCTTGCTAACATGAAGCACATTTCATACAAAGCTGGACATTTTTCTCCTTGTCATACAGAATTATCTTAATTATTGTTTCAAGGAACAGCCTTATATAGCATCAGCTAGTAGTCTGGGAGGCGGCTCCGAAACTCGTCACTGGAATAATTTATGATTTTTCTTTCTAACATCTTGGTCTTGTTTGATATGCTTGCCATTTCTCCCTGACAGGGAGGTCGATTAAATCACATTTATATTGTAAACGTATGCATTGCTTTTTACCCAAGGCGCTGGAT
Source organism: Homo sapiens (assembly GCF_000001405.40). Lineage (NCBI taxonomy): Eukaryota > Metazoa > Chordata > Mammalia > Primates > Hominidae > Homo > Homo sapiens. Next base: position 78,357,516 of record NC_000010.11, on the reverse strand, counting down.
GAAGAGATACAGGGGCCCCAAGGGAGGGAGAAGCCAATCCACTTTCATATTGCAAATTTCTGCTGTTCGGAAGAAATGAATGGTTGCCAGGGAGAACTGGGAATTACTTGAGGATGCAAAATGTTATTTTAGAATCCTTTTGAGAGGGTTTTTCCCTCCCCCACCTCCTCCGGCATTTTCACATCTCTGGCTGCTAATGGGGGACAGCACCAATCTCTATACAAATGCCGAAAGAATGCACTTCACCGGCATTCTTCAGGGGATTGGCCTGAGCCAAATTTGGGCTGGCCAACCTTTAAACAGGCTGCCTCTTGGCCTCAAAGCTGGGCGGGGGACATGCAGAGAAAAAAGGAGCCATTCACATTCTGCAAGGCATTTCATCCTCCCATCAGAGGCTAGATGGGGCCACACTCCGGAAGCTGGTTGTTGGATTTGGGTTGGGAGGGGGCTTGTAAATAACAGAAAGTGTTCAAAATGAAGAGTGGAAAGGTCATTAACGGGACCAGGAAGAAGTGACGCTGCACCATCATTAACCTAACCGAACTAATTAGGAAACATTCAGGTTTTATAAATTATGCAAGACGCTCAATTTATACTTTTTCAAATTCCTACCATAACATAGATAATGAGGGAACATTTACAGTAACAGCGTAACCTAATCAAGAAACCCTTTCATTAGCATGAAATCTTCCAACACGGTGTTTGCGAGCACAACAAACGGAATTATAGAAGCCAGGGGAGGACAGGAGGAAGGCTGGATTGCGGGGAGGTTGGGAGGGGAGTGCTGACTTCACATTTGGCCGAGCCCAGGGATCTAAGAAACCTCCCCCTCCCACCCTTGACATGAAATGTTTTCCCCAGGTTGAGTCTTCCAAAAGAGGCAGAAAGGTTCCACTCACTTCCCAGCCCACTCTGGGTGATTTATAACTGCCTTCTCTGTAGTGACCCTCTAATACTATTAGACTGATAGCCACAGCTCAGACCAGCCCTTTCTCTGGGCCAAAAATACCCACAGAGGTCACGAGTCAGGCTCCCATAGAAGGTGTCATCCTCCATAAATGTTAGACACTTGCCTTCAGTTCCACTGCCAGTTGGTTTAAGCTTGCTGCCAGTGGACAAAACGTAAGGGGCATGGTCAGGGGCTACCATGCAATCACAGAATTCAAGGGGACCCCACCACATTGTCCCAGATCTGTGGAGCCCATTGAACGCCCGCATAAGAACTCAATGCCTCCTGGGGAAGTGGCGTCCATGCTGGAAAGTCAGAAAGGCTCTCAAAGGCTCCCATGGGGAAGAGAAGAGGAGCATTGGCTGCCCCTGACCTCCACCACCACTGGCCCACTCCATAGTGGGTTGAATGGTAGTTCCTGTATTAGTCAGCTCAAGCTGCCATTAAAAAAATACTACAGACTGGGTAGCTTATAAAACAACAAAAATTTATTTCCCATGTTCTAGAAGAGTCCAAAATCAAGGTGTTGGTCAGGTAGCTTTCATCCTGAGGCTTCTTCGTATGGGCTCATAGGCAGCCGAGTTCTCACTCTCTACTCACATGGCCTCTTCTTCCTGCAAGCTCTGTGGTTTCTCCTGTAACAAGATCACTAATCCCATCACCTCACAAAGGCCTCATTTCCAAGTGCTATCACACTGGGGGTTAGGATTTCAATGTATGAATTTTGGGGGGATGCAGATATCCAGTCCATAACCCCCCCATACTCAGAGCATGTGCATGTGACCTTATGTGGGATAAGAGTCTTTGCAGATGTAACTAAAAGGAAGGATTTGGATGATATCACACTGGACTGTCAGAGTAGGCCCTCAATCCAAATCAAGACACAGAGGAGCAGGCCATGAGAAGACAGGCAGAGAATGGAGTGATGAGTCCACAGCCAAGAGCAGTGCCAGCATTGCCAACAGCCACCAGGAGCTAAGAGAGGCAAGGAAGGATTCTTCCCTAGAGCTGTCAGACAGAATGCAACCCCGCTATCTTTTTTTTAATTTTTTATTTTTGAAATGAAGTTTTGCTCTTGTTGCCCAGGATGGAGTGCAATGGCCTAATCTCGGCTCACTACAACCTCTCCTCTCGGGTTCAAGGGATTCTCCCACCTCAGCCTCCCGAGTAGCTGGGATTACAAGCATCTGCCACCAGGCCCAGCTAAATTTTTTGTATTTTTAGTAGAGACGGGGTTTCACCATGTTGGCCAGGCTGGTCTCAAACTCTTGACCTCAGGTGATCCACCCACCTTGGCCTCCCAAAGTTCTGGGATTATAGGCATGAGCCACCGTGCCTGGCCCTGCTATCTTGATTTTGGATTTCTGACTTTCAGAACTGTAAGACAGTACATTTCTGTTGTTTAAAGTCACCAAGTTTGTGGTCATTTGTGACAGCAGCCCAGGAAACCTATATACTCCCTAAGCCTTAGTGTCTATCATCTGCAATGGCAAAAGTATGCCCAGCACATATGAAGCACTCAATCAATGTGAGCAATGATATTGGGGGACCCCAGATCTGCCTCTGAGTTCTAAGCATTGGCCCTAGCTCTAACCCACTAGTGTCTCCTGCGTTCAGAAACTTGAAGACAGGAAACTGTTATGCTAACCATTAAATACCCCTCATTCTTTCTACTGCCTCCTGAATGACATAGTTAAGCATCACCTCACTATTCTGACTGCTATCCTCTGGGCAAGCCAAGGTGTAAGCCATGAGATGAACACAGGTAGAACACAACAGAACTGTCAATTCACTTATTCTAGAGCCATCCATTTATTCACCCATCATTCATTCATTCATTCATCCATTGAACAAAAAATATTAAAGATCTTCTAAGTGGCAGGAGCCATGCTTGGAGCCAAGGATATGGTGCTGAAAAGTCAGAGTCCCTCCCTTTGCTGAGTTTATGCTTTAGGCTCGCCTTCATCCTACTTCTACTACCCAATGAGGACCCCATTTTGTGAGTAAGGGCCCAACTTAGTTCTAAGTTTCTGGAGACCCTGGGGCCTTGTATGGGTCCAAGCCCGAGCATCCATGATTCTGTCTCATTCATCAGGTCTGGCTTCCCCGCCACCACCCTCCTCCCTGTGCACTGGGGATATTTCAAATGCCGCCATGGAAATTACCTTTGCTATAACTGTTCGGAGCATGAGCTTCAATTACCCCATCTCTGGTTCTCTGGCGCAGGGAAACCCACGTCAGCACTGGAGAATGTTCTCTCCCACATCATTACCCAGGTTTCCATGTTCCCTCCAGTAATTTGCAGGCTGCGGACTATAAATTCTGCCAGGAGGAGCCAGGGACTATGGAGTCCTGCTTTCCCTCCTTAGCCGTGTGGGAGGGATGGTTCCTGGGCTTCTCTCCCTCTCCTCTTACCACTTGCAAAGAAAAGAGAAAGAAGCAAAATGTTTCCAAAATTACTCCCAAATGTTCCTCTAAAAACCTTCAGCTGACCCTGAATGCCCGTGAACTATTCATAAGGCGGCAATTTCATAAATCTTAGTCAGTGAGCATAAATCTCTGGTTTGGGGGTGGGGTGGTTATGGCCTCAGTTTTGGCCAGCATTTATACAGTTATTCCCAAACATGTAGCTGTTTGACACCAGAACAGCACATCTGGATAAGAGGTTAAAGGTTTCACATCCAGAGGTTTGGAGGTCAGGCCAAGACAGTGCAAACCAGTAGCTGAGATGACTGCCTTCTAAGGGCATCCCCTTTAGCAGCCGGGGGAAGGAAAGCACCCAAGCCCCATGCCTGGCACCAATTCCCACAAGTCCGCAGAGCCAGCCGGTAGAAAGAGACCTCTCCATTTTATAGATGAGGGAACTGAGGCCCCCAGAGGCCAGAGAAGGAAAGAGCTTAGAATTAACAGATGTCTTGATTAGATTATTTTTGAAGCTAGATGAGGGGATGATGTGATCCGTGTGGTCAGCAGGACACAAGGGTCATCTCCATCCAATGGCAGGGCCAATAGAGGCCTGGCAAGGTGCCATACAGAACTCGCAGGCCTCATCAGTCATTGCAGAACCAGGGATGTACACCCAGCCATAGCTATTTCCTCCACCACAATCGCCTCTCCATCCACTGGTCTATGTTGAGTTTGAATATTGCCCAGCTCTGGAGGTGAGAAGAAGAGGTGTGTATTCACCTCTGAATGTCGGGTCTTAGATATTTCATGGGCACAAGTAAAAGGTCGAGAGGCAATATAGGTTTTAATTGCATCATTTTTGCACTTTAAACTTAATAAGAGTAAGAGGTGAGGGTGCGGGGTGGGAGGAAGTACAAAAAGGGCTGTCTCTTAAAATCTAGATAAGGTTGAGGCTGCAAAAGGAAAATGAGCAAGGCTGGAAGTCCATACAAGTCAGTGCAGAAGAGGCTCTTCTGCTTATTGGCTGTTGCTTATGGTTGCTTGAAGTCCCTGGGCCTTGGTTTCTTCATCTGTAAAATGAGGAGAATAACCACTACCCTTTAGGGTTGTTGTAAAGCTTAAAACACTATGATATGAGCAAAGAGAAAAGCACAGTACCTGGTGTATTCTAAGCATGCCAACATTGTTGGCCAGTACTTAAGGCTGCAGCTAGAAAAGACAGTGTGTGGAATAGCAGGGAGGAGGTGTGGCCAAAGCAGTGGAGGGAGTGGGACTGATAATGCTGTACACATGCAACCTTCCAATGCCACATGGGGAGTGTCAACTTGATACAGTGGGAACACATGACTCACCTTGAGCCTGGATGACAGGATGAAGGTGCTGTTTGGGGGTTATAAAGGGTTTTTGAAGGCTAGAAGATCCTGGTCCACTCCAGAGGACTACTTGGTCAGTGAGTAGCAGTAGTGGTCCTCTTTCTACCAAGGCCATGCCTTGGACATTGGTAGACTTTACACTAGTCCTCCCCAAAGCCACATGTGGTATCCATCTTTGGTTCCTCTGCACAGCATATGGCCATGTATGGCTCTGGTTAAGCAGATATGACTTACTATTAAATATATCTATATCTATGTATCTATACATATATAAAATTATGTGTGTGTATATATATATATATATATATATATATATATGAGATCTCCTCTCTTGCATTATAAACTATAATCTAGAAAGTGGTGCTACAAAACCATTTCAACTTTCTGTCAAAGAGATTCCACTCTATCATCCATTATCCATCATCCATTCTTCATCCATCCATCCATCCATCCATCCTCACATGCTTTTAGCTGTCATATGCCACACAGTAGCTACTCATGTATAAAAATCAGTGTTGTATAATACTCCCTGCTTTTTCCTAACCCCCTTAAAAATAATCTGCCTCACCCCAACCACCATTATCTAAGAGATCGTCTTCTGTACCACCTGACCCTGTCCACCAGACACCAAGCCCTGGTGCTGATCCAAGAGTACTGCATCCATTCGTTGGCCAGCAACCTTTGTTGTATTGAGTTGGATTATAAATTCCTTTCTTAGAAATTGAGATCCAAAGAACTAGGAAACTGTGAGACGTAGCAAAAGGGCCAGGAGCCCAAAGTTCACAGGCATGTAATGGAGAAGCTCAGCCAAACTGGGCTTTGACAAATCCAAGTTTCCAGGGAGTGGAAGTTATGAACAGAAGGAGGAAGCCAATCTGAGGATGGAGGAGGGCAGAACCAGTGTGCAGGGAGAAGCAGTAACACCTGAACAGAAAGAAGCTGCTCCACACAGCACTGTAATTCCTCACTGGGCTCAATCCTGTGAGGCCCCACTAGGGTGCAAGTCCTGCATCTGGAACCCCATGATAGCCTTGTATTCTCCAGGTGCTTGAGCAGGTCTCTATCCGTGGCAATTAAATGAGCCCAACTGAAGGTGTCTGTGATTATGTCTCCAACTAGTCTTTGCCAGTTCACAGGGTCCATCCTTTCCTCCTCCAAGATACACAGGAATATCAACTTTCCAATGCACAGCCCTCTCTTGTGATCTCTGTGTCCTGGCTACAAGTGAAAGGGGGAAGTCACGGCATAGAAATGCCCAGATCCATGCCAAAGTCATTAGCTGCAATATTTTATTGACAGTCACAGCTCACCTGCTGATGAAATGCGAGTTGCCGCACCATGGCGGGACACACTCTGAGCTATTGGATTTTTGTTACCGGCCAGGGACACAAAAGTAAACATTGAAGATGGAACAGAGGAGCAAGCAAAGTTTGTTGGGGGCCAGAAGAGACAGCAACCAGGGAAGGTCAAGGAGGCGTCCCAAAGGGGAGGCCTTCTTAGCTAGATCTTGATAGAATATCCCCTTCGGGAAGGGTGGGGAGAGGGCAGGAAGGGCATTCCGGGCAACAGAATGGCATAGGTTAAGGTACGGGAGCATGAACGCATCAAGCTTATCTGGAGAATGCTGATGTATCCTATCGACCTCAGCTGGACTCATCAGCTATCAGCTGTGGCCACTAATACCTCTGGGGAACATGGGCTGTAGGGGAGAAGGAAGAAATGCAGGCATATTTTCTTTCAAATTCCGTGCTTTGCTCCTGTCTATTAAAGGCCAGTGATGTCACCAGATGTTATTGTTATGTGATACGATATCCTGGGGATGGGCTCCCTCCAAATTTCACAGCAGAGGTGCTTGTGGCCCAGAAAGGTGAAGTAATTTACCTGAGGTCACCCAGCAAGACAATGAAACAGCCATGACAAAGATCCATTTTTGCTAACCCCAGACCCCTAGCATCTTCCACTAGACCCTTCCCAGGACAGCCAGCTGTGAGCATCTTTTGATTCTCTCCCCAATGGACTCTATAGCAAGGCCTTCCAGGGCTTGGCCTTTCATTATGTTTAATGCTGTTTACATATGAGAGAGAAGATACCAAAGGCAGTCAGGAGGTATAAAAGGGCACTCTGTCCAATTTCAAGCCCCTGGAAGCCACATTATCTTCCCTTTCCTTCTCTACTTCTCCCCCAAATCCTCCTGGTTGTTAGGAAAATAATTGAGGGCACCATCTGACTCCCATCTGAGGGCTGGGGCTGGGTCAGGGAACTGATGGCCTCTCCTGGCAGTGATGGAGGGGCTGGAGGCAGAGAGGGTGAGAAATGCAATTTCACAGATGAGTTTAAGGTGTGATGGGGGAGGGGCTGTGGGGCAGAGGGGAGAGGGGATGCCTTGTCACAGGAGGAAGGAGCAATTAGTGTGGATTGTGGCAGAGGGTTATAGCAGCCTCTGGCTGCTCCACAGAGCCTGCAGGAAATTGAACTCTCTTGCCCATGGGTTTCTACAGAGGGTTAGTTCTTTCTTAGGGGAATGGCTTTTCCCCCTACTGATTCTCCCTGTCCTTTAAAATTCAGCTCACTTCCCCCAGGAAGCATTCCTTGACACCCCTCAAGGCTGAGCTACAAACCCCTCCTCACCTACAGTCTCCAGATATTCATCCACCTCAGCCCTTATTGCATAGTGTTGGAATTGCATGCACACATGCGTGTGTGTGCTTATGCATGCATGCATATATGCATTTGTGTGTGTTTGTGTATGTGCGTGTTGATGTGTATGCTTTGGTTCCTCACTGGACATGGGCTGCTTGAGGGGAAGCACCAGATCCATGCCATTTCTGTATCCCAAGAAAAAACCTCAACCTGTGAAGGCTGAACAAGTGAATGAAAAAACTCAAGGGGGAAACTAACAAATGAACTGTCTTCAGGACACCACTTGGAGGACAGGGACCAGCTCTAAGATGATCTGTCCACCCCCACTAGCGCCTAGCTTTTCTGAGGGTAGGGATTTTGTCCAGATCCAACACCTCTGGGAGCCCACTGTATAGAGCAAGCTTTCCCAACCCCAGCACTGTTCACATCTTGGGGCAGATTGTTCTTTGCTGTGGAGACGGATTCCGTGCTTTGTAGAATGTGTAGCAGCATCCCCAGCCTCTACGCATTAGATGCCAGTAGTAGCCACTGCCTCCCAGCTGTGACAATCAAAAATGTCTCCAGACATTGCCAAATGTCCCCTGGTGGGTAAGGTTGGGGGGGCACAAAATAGACCCTGGTTGAGAACCACAGGTGAGAGTATACCTGGCACAGAGTCAGCACCACCTAATATTGTCAACTAAGTGACTGACCTTTCACAGAGTGGAGCCATCTCTGGCTTGCCCAGAATGCCTGCCAACCCAGGACTCTGGCACCTGGGTCAGGACTGAAATGCCAGAGGAGCGTGAGGGCAGAACTTTCAGTCCCCATCCGCAAGATCAGCAGCCAGCACTGCGCAAAGATAGGTTGTGGAATCTGTGCTCACTGCTTTGAGAGAGTTGCCAACCTCCCCCGGCAGGCAGGAGCCACCTTTAACACACTCCAGCCCAGGCCTGAGATGGTAAGGATGGCACTTCCTGCTCCATCACTCAGCATTCACACACCTAACAGAGACTGACTCCAATTCCTGAACAGAGAATAACTACCCCCGTGGCTCCTCTGTGGAGCCTATTTCTCCAACGGTGCCTGAGGTAACACCCGGCTCTCAGGTGAGCTCAGCCAAACTAGGCCAAGTCTTTTGGCATTTTTCCAAAATGCCTCCCTCTGAGATTGATGTGTAATTGTTGTCTCAAGAAGAGGCTACCAAAATCTCCAGCCCCTAAGCCACAGTGGATGGTAAGGAATGGAACTTGGAGGCTCTCCACTTGGTGGGAGAATTGAGAAATTTCGTGTGTGTGCACATGTGTGTGTGTGTGCATCCCATTTACCTTTTCTGAGAGGGTATGAGACTGAGACCAGAGGCTGAAGGCTGCCAGGACAATGTCCCAGGAGTTGGGGGTGGTGAGGAGACAGTTATGACTTGGCTGAGGCAGACAATTGCAGAAGTACAAAGTAGAAGCTGGGCATATTTTCAGAAATTGGACCACCCATCAAGAAAAGTGGAGAATGAGAAGAGCCCAGAGGGCTGAAGGGCCTTCTTATGCAGTCCCTGCACCAATCAGCATCAGCATGCCGGGCACTCTTACCGGAACCAGGAATGCAGGAACAACAATGGTGATCATTACAGGGCTGAGCCTGAGAGGCCATCTAAGGACTCATTCAACTGAATCCACTGGTGTTTTTCCAGCAACTACATTGTCAGCATCTCAAGGGCAGAGACCAGACACCTCACATTATGTTATCTCCCACAGTGCTTTGCATATGCTACAGACAGTGATAAGCGTTTCTGGATCCATGCTTGATGGTTAAGACACCTGATGCACATTTACTTAGAAAAGTGGGCTTTTGGATACAGTTGGACCCCTTTGGCTTTCTGGCTTCAGGCCAGGTATACCTGCGGATTGCTGGGAGACAAGAACCAAGAGGCAGTTCTGACCATTCTTCCATTCAAAAAATAATCCTGAGAACCTTCTGGGCGACCTGGACCCCCTGCCATGTACATCCACCCACAACAGGGAGCTGGGGATACATGATAATAACAGAGAGAGGTTCCCTTCCTCTGTGGTGCTGAACGACTCCCAGAGTGCTAGGGACACAGCCACTACTTGGGAGGGAGTGTGGATGGAAGGGGTGTACACATGTCAGGAAGGCACCAGCTGGACTAGCTGGAGGGCCCTGCCACAGCAATCCTTCTAGCTAGAATCGCAATATACACCCATCCCTCCCACTTCAGCTCACTAAAATAGCCCTTCTCCTCTGACCCTGCCTGCCGCACTCAGCATGCAGACCCACCTGCAGGATCTTCTCCAGGCTCTGGAGGACTGAGACGCCCAAATTACAGCCCACTTTCTGTCTAAGCCATCTATTTACCTAACCAGAAGACCCCTATGGACTTACTAGTAACTGCAGTAATCCATGATCCACGGAGCTCAGGCCCCACAAAAGGCTTTTAACTGTGTAAGGGCCCACACACAAAATTACGTGCCTCTATAAACAACCTGAATCAACCTATATAAGAAGTAAAGAGACTAAATCAGTAATTTTTAAACTATCCAACAAGAAAACCCCAAACTCTGATCGCTTCACCACTGCCTTCCACCATTCAGAAAACAACAAATACCAATTTTTAATAAACTCTTCCAAAAACATAGAGGAGAAGGGAACACTCTCAACTCATTTTATGAAGCCAGTATTACCCTGATACCAAACCCAAAAACATGACAAGAAAACCACAGAGCAATATCACTTATAAATATAGATGCAATAATCAGATCTTCAGCAAAATACTAGCAAACCAAATCCAGCAACATATAAAAGCGTATAAAAAGAATCATATACCATGGACTAATTGAGATTTATCCCAGAGACATAAAATTGGTTTAACATCTGAAAAGTCAATTAATTAATACATTATATCAACAGAACAAAACAAAAATCACATGGCCGTCTCAATAGATGCATAAAAATCGTTTGAAAAAACATCAACAGTTTCATGATCAAAAACATGAAATGAACTAGGAATAGAAAAGAACTTCCTCAGTCTGACAAAGAGTGTCTATGAAAAACCCACAGCTATCTTCATTTATTTTTTGAGACAGGGACTCTCTTTGTCAACCAAGCTGGAATGTAGTGACACAAACATGGCTCACTGCAGCCTCAACCTCCCGCCTCAGCTCCCCAAGTAGCAGGGACTACAGGTGCATGCCACCATACCTGGCTGTCTTGCTTATTTATTTATTTATTTATTTATTTATTTATTTATTTATTTAGTAGAGAAGAGGTTTTGTCATGTTGCCCAGTTGCCCAGACTGGTCTCAAACTCCTGAACTCAGGAGATCTACCTGCCTTGGCCTTTTGAAGTGTTGAGATTATAGGTGTGATCCACTATGCCCATCCTTACTTCATATTTAATGGTAAAAGACAGGGTGCTTTCCTTCTAAGATCAGGAACAAGGCAAGGATGTCTAGTTTTACCAGTCCTATTCAACATTGTACTGGTGATTCTAGCTAGGGCAATTAGGCAAGAAAAAGAAATAAAAGTTATCCAGATTGGAAAGAAAGAAGCAAAACATGAAGACGGCATGACCTTATATAGAGAAAATCCTAAAGAATTCACTAAAACTATTAAAATTAGTAAACAAGTTCAACAAGGTTGCAAGATACAAGATCAATATACAAAAACCAATCCTTTTTCTATATACTGTCAATGAAAAATCCAAAAATAAAATCAAGAAAACAATAATTCCATTTGCAATAGCATCAAAAAGAATAAAATACTTAGGAATAAATTTAAAAAGAGAAATGTAAAACTGTGCTCTGAAAACAAAAAAATATTGTTGAAAGAAATTAAAGATCTAAATAAATAGAAAAAAAAATCTCACGTTCATGATTTGAAAGACTTAATATTGTTAAGATAATAACACTCCCCAAACCAATCTACAGATTTAAGCCAATCTCTATCAGAATCCCAGCTGGGTTTTTTGTAGAAACTGAGAAACTGATTCTAAAATTCATATGGAATTGGACAGGATAAAGAAGAGCCAAAACAATCTGGGAAAAAGAAGCACAAAGTAGGAAGATTCACAGTTTCTGATTTCAAAACTTACTGCAAAGCAACAGTAATCGAGACATTGTGGTCCTGGCACAAGAATAAATGTACATGTCAATGAAATATAATTAAAAGTCCAAAAATAAACCCATAAACCTATCATCAACTGATTTTGGACAAGGGTTACAATATGACAGTTCCGTGGGAAAATATGAATAGTCCTTTCAACAAAATGGAGCTGGGAGAGCTGGATAAGCACATGCCCAGGAATGAAGTCAGAGGCCAGGCACAGTGGCTCATGCCTGTAATTCCAGCTCTTTGGGAGGCTGAGGTGGGCAGATTGCTTGAGTCCAGGAGTTTGGGACCAGCCCGGGCAACATGGGAAAACCCCTGTCTCCACAAAAAATAAAAAATTAGCCAGGCTGGTGGTATGCACCTGTGGTCCCAGCTACTCAGGAGGCTGAAGTGGTAGGCTGAAGTTGGAGGATTACACGAGCCCAGGAAGGTCAAGGCTGCATCAGCCATGATCGTGCCACTGCACTCCAGCCTGGGTGACAAAGTGAGACCCTGTCTCAAAAAAAAAAAAAAAAGAATGAAGTTAGATGCCTACCTCACACCATATGCGAAAATTAACTCAAAATGGAGCAAAGACCTAAATGTGAGAGCAAAAACTGTAAAATTCTTAAAGAAAACCTAAGAGTAAGTCTTTATGATCTTGGACTTGATAAATAATTGTTAGATAAGACATTAAAAGAACAAGCAATAAAAAACAGATAAATTGAACTTCATCAAAATTAAAACCTTTTGTGCTTCAAAGGGCACCACCAAGGAAGTGAAAAGAGAGCCCACATAATGGAAGAAAATATTTGCAAATCATATATTATTTGATAAAACATTTGAATCTAGAATATATAATGAATTCTTACAATGCAATAATAAAAGGACTAATTACCCAATTAATAAAGATGCAAAAGATCTGAATAGATCTGTACTTCAAAAAAAGATACACAAATAGCCAATAAACACATAAAAGATGGTCAATATTACTAGTCAATATCATTAGTCATTAAGGAAATGCAAATCCAAACCATGATAAGGTAGTACTTATACTCACTAGCATAGCTGGAATTTAAAAATCAGATAACAGTGTTGGATGTGAAGAAATTAAAACCCTCATACACTACTTATGGGAGTTTAAAATGGTGTGGCCACTTTGGAAAACTGTCTGGCAGCTCTTCAACTGATTAAACTATAAGGCTACCATATGACCCAGCAATTCACTCCTAAGTAGATACTCAAGAGAAATGAAAACATATGTACATATAGAAACTCACACATGACTGTTTATAGCAGCATTATGTGTAATAGACAAAAGGTGGAAACAACCCAAATGTGAGTCAAAGGACAAAAAGATAAAGAAAATGTGGTGTATTTATACAATGGAATATTATTTAGCCATAAAAAGGGATGAAGTACTGATTCATGCTACAATGTGGATGAACTTTTAAAACATTATGCTAAGTTAAAAAAACCAGTCACAAAATACTATATGATTTTGTTCATATGAAAAATCTGTAGAAATAAAAAATAGGGGCCAGGCACGGTGGTTCACGCCTGTAATCCCAGCGCTTTGGGAGGCCAAGGCGAGCAGACTGCCTGAGCTCAGGAGTTTAAAACCAGCCCGGGCAACATGGTGAAACCCTGTCTCTACTAAAAATATTTTTTAAATTAGCTGGGCATGGTGCTGCATGCATGTAATCTCAGCTACTGGGGAGCCTGAGGCAGGAGAATCACTTGAACCTGGAAGGCGGAGGTTGCAGTGAGCCGAGATCGTGCCACTGCACTCCACCCTGGGTGACAGAGTGAGATTCTATCTCCAGAAAAGAAAAAGAAAAGAAAAGAAAATAGATTAGTGGTTTCTTAGGGGTAGGGATGCAGGACAGGGGTACAGGGAGGTAATAGTTAAAGGATACAGAGGGGGTTTTTTGAGATGATGATAATGTTCTAAAATTGTGATGGTTACACATATCTGTGAACATACCCCAAACCATTGAATTGTATCCTTTAAATGGGCAAATTGTACAGTATGTAAATTATGTCTCAATAAAGCTGTTTTAGAAAACTTTTTTTTAAGAAAAGAAAGAAAAAAACCACATGCCCTCTAACACATGGGATGGGTTAGAATTTTAGCGGAGACATCTTCCACTCTAACCTTGTCATTTTGTGAATTGGGAAACAGGCGGGGCCCAGAGAAGGGTCTTAACCAAACCTAGGTCACACAGCATGTAGGTAGCAGGGCCAGAACTAGAACTGCTCTCTAACTGCCACAGATTTGAGGCTGCATAGATCCTCTGACTCAATTTCCCTATTTGTAAGATGGAAACTCCCCTTCAGCCTTTATCCCCCAAACCCTGGTTCTAGTGCTGAAAACAGAGAGGATGTGTTTAAAGGTTCAGGATTTCAGGGAAGAAGGAGCACTGCTCCTACAGCACGGTTTGGGGTGTCATACTTATCTCATGTGTGCCTGAGCCTCAGCCTCAAGCTCCACTGCTTCCTGGAATCATCACCAGGGCAGGTTAACTATAAAAAGCGATTCTCCTGATCCTGATTCCCCAGACTGCATCTCACAGACTCACTGGGTTCTTGTTTCTGGAGAGTGGCTGTGATGGATTGGTGATGCCTGGAAGCACTTTACAACAAGTGACAAATCATGCTTAATCCTTCTTGTGTTCATTAGCGTGACATTAATCCTGATAGACTCAATTGGGGTATAAGGTGAGAGCACTCTGCACACCCAGTTCTCCGTGAACCACCCAAGTCTCATTCCAGAATAACTGGGAAACCCTTTTCTTAAAAAGTCCACCTGGGATTCTGCAGATAACTGTCTTTATCAGGAAGTGGAGATGTGACTGGGAGACACACTGGCGTCTCAGTGTCCCACTAAGGAGTGGAGGAGAGAGTCGTAAGGCCCTCCGCTGAGGAGGGAGAGAGGGAGGCAGCAGTGTGGGAGGTAACAATGCTGGCTGCAGTGAGCCAGCCCCTGCCTGGGAAGCCTGTGCTTAATGGAGAGGTATGGGGTTCTGAGGTCCAGACAGCAGTCTGGGCTCCAGCCACCACTGTGCCTGCCCCGCAACCCACAATTTCCTCCGTAGCATACCCAGGATTCCCAGACGTCAATGCCCAGCTCTGGGCCTGTAGGAGCTCCTTGTTATCCACAGGGCTCCATCCAAGCTCCTCCAAGGTCCCTGGACCAGGTGACAGGCAACCTGGCATGGAATCACGCTGCACCTCTCACCCAGTGTGCAGCCCAAGCAGGCAGCTTCTATTTGTAAGACTGCAGTTCCCTCATTCTTCAAATCGAAAGAGGGGCATGGTTGGAAGCTAGAACCAGTAAGTCATGTAAATGGATGGAGTGGAGGAGACTGGGGGTAACTGGAAAATGCAGGCTGTATCTAAAAGATTTTGAAAATTAACAAAAGTAATAATAATAGTTAACATCAGATGAGCCAAAGAGATATCTGCAACGGGCATGATCTTGTCTAGGGCCACCGGTTGATGATCCCCGACTCTAGGCTTTTCCCGAGGTCCCTTATAACTTTGATACTCTCTGGTCTTAAAAGCAATCTATTGAACCTCCCCAGCCCTGTCTCTGCCCACCCCCTCACTCCCATATCACCAGGCTGACTTGTTCTCTATGACCCTCTGCACCAAGCTCACCACCAGCCAGCTCTATGCTCTGCACTCATCATACACACCCTATCTCTCTAGGGCCTCTGTCCTAACCCTCCCTCCCTCCCAGGCCCAGGTCAAGGCTGAACTTGTCCCACCAGCCTCCCAAGGCCTGAAGAGCCTCACCTGATTCTCATTGCAATGACTGCAGATGTGGCTCCCAGAGATACATTCATCATTGCAAACTTCTGATAGCATTCATGTGGGCCTTTGGTGACGTGATGACAGGGGCCGCATGCTAAGGTGCAGAGAGGCACCAAGGATAGTGCAGAGGCCCAAGGCACAGTTCACTGATGCAGCGAGAAAGGACCTACCCCCAGCCAGGCAGCAGCCCCTTGTGAGACATGGGTCTGTGTGTTCCTCCACATTCAGCCCCTTTACCCTCACAACAGTCCAGCACGTTTGTTCTTTTACCCCAATTTTACTTATGAGGAAACTGAGGCTCTAAAAGGACCTAAGAAAGGCAAAAAGGGATCCAAAAATATTGGATGAACATTTGTCTTTGTGTTTTAGTAAAACAAAATGGCCACAATCTCCTCTTCCCAGCTAGAGCAGAGAAAGGGATGGGAATGGAGAAATGGAATTCTCACTGGGTCAGGCAAAGTCATCAATATCCTGTTTAAGAGAAATACATGGTTAACCAATTACGACATATGAGCAAGGGAATGGAGGCAACAGCATCCAACTCTCCTTAGCAATCCCTTCTTCCCACAATATCAAAACATTTTGGCATCTTTAAGATTAAGGCAGGAGACAGCCCCTGGCCTCTAATTGCTCTCAGTCAAAGACTGTAGCTAACATGTTATTAAATATGTAAATAATATGAAACCCAGAAGAGAATTAATATTTCATATCTAATGAAGTTAAGATGAATTCTCCTGTGTCTAATTTTCTGTTTTTAAATACATAATGCACTGTGGAGTCCAAAGTGATTCATGGTATTTTATATTGGCTAAAGACGTTCGGGGTTTCTCTGAAGCAGCTTCCTAAATGATTAACCTGAATATTATTATTACAAATAGGATTTGTTTTTTAAAAAATTAATTTTGTAGTTAATCAGAATAAAGAGCATGGTGTTATATGCTGGTGGGCCATTTTTAAATGGGGAAAAGGAACTGATATAGGGGTTACAAATCCTAACACCTAGAGGGGCCTGGCAAATAAATGACTGAAGCAGGCTGGGTGGCAACAGGGAGAGGTAGAGACTATGGCAAATTGTGACAGCACATGCCCTTCAGAAGTAGAGGCCAGAAATTCAGGTTGTTTTTTTTTTTTTGGTGAAATTTACTAATACATAAAGTTGGCTGTTCACACCAACATGGCACATATATACATATGTAACAAACCTGCATGTTATGCACATGTACCCTAGAACTTAAAGTATAATAATAAAAAAAGAAAAAAGTTGGCTGTTAATTCAAATATATATGTATGTATATATATACATATATATATATTTTTTTTTGAGACAGAGTCTTGCTGTGTCACCCAGGCTGGAGTACAGTGGTGCTATCTGAGCTCACTGCAACCTCTGCCTCCCAGGTTCGAGTGATTTTCCTGCCTCAGCCTCCAGAATAGCTGGGATTACAGGTGCACGCTACTGCACCTGGCTAATTTTTGTATCTTTAGTAGAGACGGGATTTCACCATGTTGACCAGGCTGGTCTTGAACTCCTGACCTCACATGAGCCACCCATCTCGGCCTTCCAAAGTGCTGGGATTACAGGTGAGCCACTACGTCCAGCATTTTATATGTGTGTGTGTATGTGTGTGTGTATTTTAAAAACAGAGTCTCACTGTGTCACCTAAGCTAGAATGCTGTGGTACAATCATAGCTCACTGAAGCCTCAAACTCCAGGATTCAAGCTATCCTCCTGCCTCAGCCTCCTGAGTAGCTGGAGTTGCAGGTGTGAGCCACTGCACCTGGCTTTAATTCAAATATTTTAAAACATCATGGATTCAAAAGAAGATGGCCCATGGCTTCCAGTTTACAACCTCCATACTGAGACATATGACTGGAGGGAAATTTGCTACCAGAGACAAGTCCTTCAATCTCTGGTGCAAAGAGTTTCCTCTCAGGTTGACAAGACAATAAACTGGTAAATATAAACTCTGATTAGTCAGCCTTTTAGGAGGGCAATTTGGCAAAATGCACAAAAGTGCAAATCCTTCAACCCACCAGTTCTACTTCAGTTCAACTTCTAAGAATGTATGCTAAAGTAGTAATTAAGAATTGACCAAATTTTTCACTGTAATGATGTTCTTCATTGCTCTGTTTATAATAACAAAAAAAATAGAACCAACTTCAAGATCCAAAAATCATGTCTGATTACTGAATTATATTGTAGCGCAACTAAAAACATTAAAACTATACAGTCTTTGACAAATATGAATAGGGATTTATAAATATGTTTAAAGCATGGGTGAAACAGATTTGTAGTGCAATCATAGTATTGTTTTTAAAAATGGACATATATTTATCTGCCCAGGGAAAAGATGGAAAGGTAACATGCCAAGCAATCAGCAATGGTTATCTCTGGTTTGGTGGTACAATTACTAAGCAAATTCTATCTTTTCTCTTTTTGCTTGTCTGTATTTGATGAATGATTTCACATGAACTTTCAGTGCTTCTGTATAAAGTCAACAAGAGAAATAAACTCTCCATTACATAGTACAATATTAAAAAATAAAAGTGGTCTTTGTTTGGAAGTTCACCAATCTAGATTCAATATTCACTCCTTCACTGAGAACTTTCACCTCCTTGAAGAACCTCACAGTTCTCGTCTGCGGAATGAATCATTAGGCTACATGATTTCCAAGGTCCCTCTGTGATTTGAGGCCACTGTTGAGGGACTTTGGGGGCAGGCCAACTTGCCTATTTATTCACAAGAATTGATTGACTGCCAGATAAGCCTTGTGCTGGGCTCTGGACTCAAGCTTGCCCTCCAAAAACACTCGGGAGAGGAGGGGCAGCACCCCCTCTGCCTTCCCATAGGGTGTTTACATACAGGAGTCTACAAGAATGTGGAGGAGGCACACTTGCTTTGGGGACGTTAAGAAAAGCTTCCTAAAACAAATGATATGTTAACTGAGTTGGAAAAGTTGAGAAGGAATTAGCCATCCAAACAGAGAGGAGGCAGAGAAAGGCATTGCAGGACAAACAGAGAGTGTGCAAAGGGACAGAGTTGGGCATGGGGTGCAGGGTAGGGGAGAGAAGAGGCTGCAGAAGGGACAGGAGCCTGGATCATAAAGGTGCCCTGTTCAGGAGTTTGGATTTAAAACTGGGGTAAAGGGACCCTTGAACGTTTTAAGAATTAGGGAATTTTTTGGACCAGATTTTTGTAAATCCCTGTGGCAGCAGGGAGATGGATTGAAGGGAACAAGGTACCAAAGAGCCTGCTGTCCTATTCCAGGTTGGAGATGGTGGTGGTGGCTATGGAGGAGGTCAGGCTTCAGGACCTACTCTGGAGACAGGCAGAGGAAGGAAGCTGGGAGGGCTCTCGAGTTTCTGGCTTCCACGGTTGGTGGATAAGTACGCCATTGACTGAAACAAGAATGACTGGACACAAGGACAATTTGGGGGAAAGGCCCATGTTCAGTTGTAGGAGCTTGTTGGATATCCAAGTGGACATGTCAGCTAGGCACATGGATGAACATACCTTGAATTCCAGAAAGAGGTCTGGGTTTGGGATTCATCAATGATGGGCTGCAGAAGCTCATGGTAGGGATTAGACGGCCAAAAAGAGAAAATATGAACTGTGCATGGAGGTCTGCAGACCACAGGCACCCAGGGGCCAGATGGAGAGAGAAAGAATATTCCACAGATGGGTAGCAAGAGAGTGTGACGGCACAGAAGAATAAAACAGAATGAAATCAAAAATGGCCAGCCGTGTTGAGTGCTTCTGCAAGATCGTGTAAGAGGAGTCATTGGTGGCTTGGGAGATGCAGAAATGGAGTCCACAAGGCAGGGAACACAGCTTCCTCAAGAAGAGTGAAAGTGTGTGAAGCAGGGTGGCCAGGGAGGGGAGAGCGACAGGAGCTAATGCATGTGGCAGCAACCAGCAGCGTGGTGCCCTTCTAGGGCCAAGCACAGGGCAGGGCTTCCAGAAAGACTGACTCCACTCACCTCCTCTCTCTGTGGAGTCCACTGTGTAGAATCACACTCCTCTCCTTCCCCAGCCTGGCCACCGAATGGGGATGACAAGTACATAAATTCCATCTAGTTGCAGTCAGGGGTTGTGGAAGAAGAATGGCTCTGTGGCCAGTTTTCTAGCAGCCTGAGTAGCACTCTGATGAAATGGCCTCATGCGGCTCTTCAGAACACCGTTTCCAGCCTGCCCAGAGCACTTGCAGCTGGAAAGACAGCCTCCGAAAGGGATCCCGCCTCCATAAGCAGCGAAGGGCTCTCCATGTGTGGCCCAGGAGAGTGGAGACAGGAAGCTCAGGGTCCTGGGAGGTACCAAGCCCTCTCCTCTCTGCACTACATGCTGCCTCTCCTGATCTTGCTCTGACGGCCCAGGGCCATCTTTCTTGAGATCTGCTGACTTCCTCAGCATCCTACTTAGGTGGCCACAGAATGAGCCCACAAGAATCTGAGACAGCCCCTGCTCTAGCCTTTCCCACTGTGCCATGGCACTCCACCAGCCTCTGCCAGGGTGACGTCAACCTTGGAGCAGCAGGAAGAGCTCTGCACCTGGAGTTCCCTAGGCCTGAAAGGAAGCCATGGCTCATGTAGCAGCCACTAATGCTGTTCTTCTAATAGTTCCAGCTCTCCACCTTCTGGACACGTAGTAGGACTGACCATCCTGGCCCCTTTGCTTGGATAGGGGCATGTGACCAGTCTGACCAACGAATTGTAAGCAGAAGTGACGTGCGTGACCTCCAGACCAAATAAAATCTCCAGCGTGAGAACAATATCTCAGATGGCTACAGTTTTGACAGCCTAGGTCCCAGAGGAAGGATGGTGAAATGCAGAGCCCCCAGCTGACCCCTGATGGACAGGTAACATGAGCAGGAGCCAAGCCCATATTGTCTTGACCCACCGAGCTCTGGGGGTTGTTACAGCAGCAAAACCTGGCCTATCCTGATTGATATAGCCTGGCTCCAGGACAACCTTGGGCAAGCACCCGTCCCTCTGAGGCCAGCATCCTCACCTGCAAAGCGAAGGCATGACCATCAGCTGCCCTGAGAGCTGGTGTGGATTGGAGGATGGGGAGCATGTGACATGAGCTGCACTCACACACAGCAGGCACATGTTAAGAGCACCATGCTTCCCATGGCAGGAGGCAGTGCCCCTGGGGCATGCCTATTCCAGGAGCCACAGAATTCTGACAGCTACACAATTTGTCCTCGGGCTCCCCCTTGGCCCTCCCAGAACATGTTCGCTCCTTCTTCCTTATGACAGCCATTCAGAGATTTGAGGAAATGTGGAGTGTGTGTGTGCACATTTGAAAAAAAGAGAGATGGAGAGTTTGAAGCTACCGTCTGTCAAGGCTAGCACATGAGGGGCCTTGTGCTGGGACTGTCACACGCCTTATCAATAATCCTCCCCTTGGGTTTGTGCAGTGTGTATGACAGTCGTCATTGTAGGGAAAGAAAAGAGGTGTGCTGGTATTCTCTATTCTACCCAGGCTGCCTCTCCATTCCTTGCCCTTCCCTGCCCTGCTCCAGCCTGGGAGGTGGCCCCTACTGACTACATCAGTGGCTCCCTCCAGCAGCTGGCAAGGATCTGGAAAGGAGCAAGGAGAGGGCTTGTGCATTTCCTCCCCTCTTCCTTCCTGCTCAGGCCGCCTCCCAGGCAGTGGCTGCTGGCACCCTCTTTTGTGAGTCTGGTTCTCCTGGGGTTTGGCTAGCACTGTCCCTCCCACCCCCACTGATCCTTCAGCCTTAGGGAGGGTCATGACGTGCTACTGTTGCTAGCCACTGAGAGCATCCTCATCTCTTGAGAATTTCCCTGATGCTGCCCACAGAATGACCTTGTCTCTTCACTGGAAGCATCTGGAGTGAATTCTGTTTCCTGCCAGAGCCCTGAATTCACACCCAGGCCTCTGCCACCAGGCCTTGCCTCTCTTATCCCCCAGCCCATCCCTGCCTACCTCCCAGGGCCCCTGCATCTTCTCTCCTCAGCAGACACATCCACTGCATGCACCGTGCTGTGTGGGACATGGTCTGGAGGCCCCTCCCTCCTCCACCTTACTCCCAGGGCATGGAAACTTGGGCAGGGGAAGGCTGGAAACAGTGTGTGGGCACAGCTCTGGGAACCTCTGAGGTTGCTCCCGCTTTGCTCCTTCTCACTCCTTCCCTGACCTGCACCCAGATGGGTGGGGGCCTTGGGCACTTCCTCCATCCTGGCTGACCCCAGAGCTCCAGGGCACCAGGATCCTGGCCAGACCTCAGGGCACAGCATTCTGGGAATGCTCAGAGCCAAGGCAGCCAGGGCCAAGGGAGGCCAGGCCTGTTTCCAGTTTGGCCTTCCTTTGTTTTGCTGTTTCTGCTGTGGCCAGTGTGTCAGATCAATGTCATCCTTAAACCAACAGTGTGCATGGAGCCATGGCCCTCATTGACCATCAATTACCACAGGCCTGTCACCTTTGAAAGCATGTCAGCTGGTGCTCAGCATCCGCTCCTGCCACCTGCACCCTGCAGCTGAGCAAACACAGAGTGACCAGAGCTCGCCAGGGTCAGCCAGGGGCGGCTTCATCTTCCTTCCCCTCCTTGGCCTGATCCCTAAACCAAGGGGAAGAAAGCTGGCCTCCTTGTGGGAAAGGCCCTAAACACTGCATGAGAGCAGGTCTCTGAGTAGCTCTGTGGGTAATGGAAGCAGTTAGCTCAGGGAGAGATTTCTGGGTCAGGCCTGTCTCTGTCACTTATTAGCTTTGGGATCTTAGACGAGTTCCTCCACTTCTAAGCCTCATTCTCATCCCTATTTCACAAAAAAAGAAGGGAGTCTTGACCCTTGAGCTGCTGTAAGGTGCACACTCAGTAACCATAATAATGCAAATATTTCTAGAATGCCTCCCATGTGCATGGCACTGGGCTGAGCACTTGAATTCCACCATTTGATTCCTCCACCATCCCATGAGGTTTTGCCTAGTGAGAGGCCATGGAGCAGAGGAAACCAAGGCTCAGTGTGGCCAAGTGGCTTGTCCAACATCTCACATCTAATGAAGGGCGAAGCTGAGATCCCAATCCTATGCTCTCTGATTTCAGAGCCCTCATAGTTTTTAATCTTTTTCCTTGTTTAAGCTTGCATCTCTCTGGCCTTACTTTTTAAGTTTTTGCTGTGGAGATTTTCAGAGATGAGCAAACATAAAGAGAATAATTCAATGAACTCCCATGGGCCCATTACCCAGCTTCTATGATTACCAACACTCTGCTGTTCTTTCATCTATCCCCATTCCTACTCTTTTTTCTTTTAGGGCATCTCAAAACAAATGCCGGGCATGGGATTCCACCAGTAAATACATGAGTGCTGCAGAGCCTTGATTCCTCATCATTGTCTGACCCTCTTGGATCACTCTCCATCAAGGCTCTGCAGATAGGCGGTACAGAAAGATCAGGGGCCAATTCAGACCTGGGCTCAAACCCCAGCTTTGTTATTGTGTCTCTGTGGGCTTTTGATATATTGCTGCACCTCTCTGACCATCCAGCTCTTCTTCTGTAAAATGAAGAGCATGGTTGGAACTTCTCTGAGTTGTCATGTAAACAAGATAAGGAATGCTGGTGGGCCAGCATGTGGGACAGGCTTAATACACCAGGTTCCCCTTCCTGGGCCCAGTGTATTTGTTTCCTGGGGCTGCTGTGACAAAACACCACAAATGGGGTGATTTAAAACAACAGAGATTTATTCTGCCACAATTCTGGAGGTCCGAAGTCTGAAGCTAAGGTATCAGCAGGGCCGTGCTCTCACTGCAGCCACCAGGGAAGGCTCTGCTTGGGCCTCTCCTGGCTTCTGGTGGGTGCTGGCCATCCTTGGCATTCCTTGGCTTGTGGCAGCATCATTCTGACCTCTGCATCCATCTTCACATGGCCTCTCCATCTGTGTGTCTGTGTCCAAATTTCCCTTTTCTTATAAGAACACCAGTTATTAGATTAGGACCCACCCTGATCCACTGTGGCCTCATCTTAACTTGATTACATCTGCAAAGACCCTATTTCCAAATAAGGTCACATTCACAGGTTCAGGGTGGACATGAACCCAGCACCCCCAAGCTGCTGCCTACTGCTCAGGTCTGGGGGAGTTTTCCAGGGCAGGTCTGGGGACCTCCCATGCTGCCTGCTTGAGACTGAGAAACTCAACTCCTGGAGGAGGAAAGAAGAGTCTCCTGATGCCCTTTGCCATGCACCAGTCGTCCTGGTCACCAGCTTCCCAGAAAGCAGCCACTGAGCTCTGGCACTTGAGAGAAGGAAACCCAGCCTCAAGGTGGCTGCCTGCCACATGCCTTCCCACCGCACTCAAAACAAAGTCCTGTTTCCTGGCCCACAGCCCTTGTTAGGCTCACCTCAGCACCCCCTTTGCCCCCTGCCACCCACTCCAGCCTTCCTCAGGGCCCTAAGTGCCCTGAGCCCAGCTGCCTCCTGGCCCTCGCTTGTGCTCTCGTCTCCACAACCCTTCACCTGGGTAACTCCCGTCATCCTTTGGGCCTCAGCTTAACCATCACCCCCCACCACACACACGGAGACCTTCCTGATCCCACACAGCAGTCCTTCATGCTGTCCTTTCTTGAAACATCCTGTTCTTTCTCTCCAATGCTCTAATCACAATATCTATCCATTCTAGCGTTTGCTTACGTGTGTCCTGACTTACTCCCCCACTTCCCCCACTATAAGCCCCATGTGGGCGGTAACCAGATATCCCATTTACCTCTGCACCCAGCACTCAACACAACATCTGGCACACCACAGATGCCCAATAAACATATACTCACCCACCAATAATGAAGTCACTCTTCAGAACCTTCTAATTGTGCAGGGGAGAGAGGTCAAAGAGAGAGGGGTTTCTTCCCTTGCTGAGAAGGTAGGGCCTCCATCTGGAGGCCCACAAATGCACCTTTGCTGGAAAATCTCTGCTCCTCATGGGCTCCACACACAGCTCTGGGCTTGGCCTCTGGAGTCGCACGGAAGCCCCAACACCTCTGCCCCATCCCTGCCTTTCCTTCATGAGCAGATGGCTCCATGCTCCTCCACACGGGCCTTTCCTTCCCCGTCATGGCAGCCCCAGTTTGTTCTTTTCCTCCCCTTCCATCAGGGTCCAGGCTTCACCCCTTCTCCTTCTCTGCTCCATTTCATCCATGTCCCACCTCAGGTTCCGCATCCAGATCTGAGACCTCACAGGGAGGCATTCCAGGCATTCAAGATGGAGGAGGCCCTTTGGCCTGAGCCACCAAATAAGCCTCACAGGGAGGGGTTCCATGCACTCCAGATAAGGGGGAGCCCTTTGGCCTGAGCCACCACACCTCAGGTTGGCCTGGCCCTTATTTTAGGCTGGCTTCCCCTTGACAATATGTGGGATTTCTGGAGGGGAGGCCCTGGACCCAAAACATGAAGTTAGCAATAGGACTGGCCCTAGGCAGCAGATGAGTGGGAGGTGCCTGTGACCCATGCATGGGAGGCATGGGGATAACATCATGATGTGACCCATGCAGAACTCAAGGCACAGCATGTGTTAGTGGCACCCCTCCCACACCAAGCCCTACAACCCAAAGATGCAGCTCATTTGGCTGCCACACAACATAAGGCCCCATGTGTGCCTACCGACCACTAAAATCCCAAATGGAAAGCCAGAGGACACGAAAGCACCCTTTTACGAGGACAAACTCTTTACAATCCAAATTAGACCCACAGGGTCTAGCTGGGGCTGAGTCCCACAGCCTTGAAGGTAAGGCCTTCACTTGATCCCTGATGACCAGATAGAAATGAGAGATGTCATTCCCTGAACATGTGGCATGGGAGAAAAATGACTATATAGGGACATTGAGCTGGAAAATGCCACAAACATTATCAGGTTCAGCCGTCTGCCTTCAAGTAACAGAGGAACCCTGATAAGACACCTGAGACCCTCACTGGGGAATCATCTGGGCCAAAGTGCCCCAGCGAGTTCGGGTAGGAACCAGGGCCCTGTAAGCCCTGGACAGTGTTTGCTCCACCACTGCTGCAGAAAAAGGCAGCAGAAGCCCATACCAAGGAGGAGGCAGAGAGGATAGGAGGACCCGGCAACACCCATTTACGCCTCTGCCAGCGCCTCTGGGCACTGTCCAGGACACATCCTGTACCCAAACAGCCCTACTCTACTGTGCTGGGAAGGCTGCTCCCAGTGATTTCTCGCTTAGCAAATGAAATTGACCATGGCATGTTAAAAATCTAAAAACCCAAGGAAATGGCAAACAAAGGGACCGAGATTTCAGCCAGTTTTTAAGTAAATAGAACCAGACCTTGCACCCCTGGCCTTTGCTGGTCCTCCTCTCCTCCCTGGTGTGGACATCTTCAGTCGCACTCTCTTGCCCTGAGTGTGCCTTGGGTGTCACTAGAAAACCTGGGCTGTTTAGGGAAAGACCCAGCCCTCCCCAGCTGCACCCCCACAAGGCAGTTATGGATGAGTTTCAAGCAGGCATCATGGAAATGTCACTTCCGCCAGCCGCACCCCTGCCATTCACCCCCACACAGCAGGGCCCTCTTCCCAATCCTGCCTGTCTGAAATGGGAGGCCAGCCCTGGAACTTTTCAATCAGACAGAATTCCCACTGCTCGGCTTTTGTTTTATTTTCTCTCTCTCTCTCTCCCTCCCCAGCATTAGTAATGACTGGCTTGGATGCTGGAATGAGTCAGCCCCACTGGAGGACCAATTAGCTCGTCCACAGGCAGCCCATTAACTCTTCCCAGGACCCCAGGTATCAGGCAGCAGTCTCCCCTCTTCGTGAGCCCCAGGGGCTCCTCCTTTGGGCCCTCTCCAGCCATGACATCCAACCCATTTCCCTCACCTCCTGCCACTCCCTGAATCCAGGTCTCATCACCTCCTCTGGACTTGTTCCCCACCTTCTAACAGGTCTCCCTGCCTTGGATACCATCTCCTGCTATTCTCTTCTCTCCCTAACTGCTTGTACAGTGACTTCATAAACCGAGATCTACTCATGCCACAACCCCGCTCAAAAACTCTCTGTGGCTCCTTATTGCCCAAAAGGGTAAAATTTACTCTTGCCAGACTTGCACTTACTGTCCACTCTAGAATCTGTTGTCCTCCTTTTCTAACCCTCTCTGGAGCTGGTCCCCTATGTGAGCCCTCCCCAGGGCCTAAACACCTACCCAACCCCTGGGCTCTGCACCTTTGCTGCTGCTGGTTCTCCTATTTCGAATACAATCTCTTAACCTGTGGAAATCCAGCCCCTCTCTCAAAGCTTGGCTCCAACCCTACGTACTCTTTAAAGCCTCCCCACCATCCTTCATTCCAAAACCACTCCTTCCATTCAGAACTCTATTGCATTTCTGCCACTCAGCACATAGCAAGTTCCAATTGTAATTTCATGGAACTATTCCTCACAGGCTTGGTCTTCTCAACAAGATTGGAACTTTCTTATCAACAACTTCAGTATTCAAGAATGAGGGATCACTTTAATAAATTACAGAATATCTATATAGTAGATGACTGTTAACCATTAAAAATAAGTGACAGAAGAAAGGATTGAAGATTGATACAAAAAGATATTGATTATATATTAATTTGGGAAAAAAAGATCACAAAACAAGGTACACATGAAGTGTCCAGTTTTGCTTGAAATACATGCTTGCATAGGAAAAGAGTCAGATTCTTCAACATAAGGCTGAATAGTATTTTTTAAACCTGGGTAGTATTATTATGAACCATTTTCTTTTTTCTTATCTGTATTTTCAATAGTAAATATGTATTATTGTATAATAAAAAGCAATAAAATGTGTATGTTTAAGATTGAGGGATTATATATTTTAAAGTACTTTGCGACCAGGAAGATGAGTTCTTCAGGCTCTTTTCGTATTCATCAGAGGGCTGGAAATATAGGGCACACTCATTTTGTGTGTGCAGTGGCAGTGAAGCTGTTGAGGATTATGAAGATCTAGACTTTTCAGCATCCATCAGTCCCAAACCTTTCCTTTTGCAGAGGAAGAAGCCCACGGTCTTTTCATCCTACTCTTGAGCATCTCTCTGGGCCAGGCCCTTTGCTGACAGCCTCACCAGTAGTCCAAAATCCACCATTCAGGAGCTGCCTCCTGGCTTTGGGAAAAAAGCCAGGAGGGTTAGGAGCTTCTTTCATTCCCACCTTTTTAGGTTTTGATCTAAAAAATGAGAGATGCTATTACCAGCCTGATTTAAAGATTGAGAGGAGCAGCACCTGCAAAATACAGCCAGGACAACAGAGTAGACAATAAATGTTTGCTATTATTGCTACAATATACTTGTGTGGTCCTGACAGACTCTAAGTGGGCACTTACCACTGCCATTTTATACTTAACGAAAACCAAGAGGAGTAGAGAACTTAAAACTTATACACATGGCCAGGTGCAGTGGCTCATGCCTGTGATCTCAGCACTTTAGGAGGCCAAGGCAGGCAGATCACTGGAGGCCAGGAGCTTGAGACCAGCCTGGCCAACATGGCAAAACCCCATCTCTACCGAAAATACAAAACTTAGCTGGGTGTAGTGGTGTGCACCTGTAGTCCCAGCTGCTCAGGAGGCTGAGGAACAAGATACCCTTGAACCCAGGAGGTGGAGGTTACAGTGAGCCAAGATCACGCCACTGCACTCCAGCCTGGGTGACAGAATGAGACTCTGTCTCAAAAAAAAAAAAAAGAAAAAAAAAGTACAAACACACAAATCAAATGCACACAAAAATAACCAAAAATCCTGCTCAGAGCACTGCATCTCAGAGATGGAAGAGGCAGATTTCACATTCAGGTCTGTGGACTCTATGGAAGCTATGCTTCCAGTGGTAAACTGCTGTGATATCAAGGACGGGGTTAGGGAAAGAGGGGTGACTTGTCCAAGGCCACACAACTAATTAGGGGCAGAGCTGGGATTAAGCCCAACATATACTTCAGCAAGTCATTTACCAAGAGGGCTTCAGAATGTCTGAATAGAGGTGCCTGGCACCGGAGGAGATAACTACAGGTGGACTCACGTGTCTAAGAGAGAATGGTGGGATTCAGCAGGGAGGCAGCAGGGAGCCGCAGAGGCATGGAAGAAGAAGGAAGTGAAGCAGCTGGCCTGGCCAGGATCAGCTCAGAGCCTGGATAAACTCCCCACTGCAAGGAAAAGGTAAGGAGAGATCCCAGTAGCCCACATCATGGACTCCTGCAATCCTAGCCACGGGAGAGCCCCTTGGCCTTCGTGGGCCCTGAGACGAGTAGAGGGAGCTGTGTGGAATCTGTGTGAAGGTTTTGTTCCAGAAAGACAGCTCATGCTGGGTGCCACACACCCCCGAGATGCAATCAGCTGCAGCACAGCGCCATGTTGAGATCCTAGCACCCACTAGACTGCATCCTGTCCTGGGGCCCAACATCCCCTGCATCTCCATATCCCTGGAGCCCCACTGACATCCTTCACACATCCACCCAGAGACCTGCAGCGTTGTGATGCCAGGACCTGGCCACTCCTGCCAGGTCTCCAGCATTCCAGCCCACACAGTGTGCTACACCCCAGGGAATGAGTGGTGCAGCACCCCAGGGAGGCTTCCCCTGAGACAAAGGGAGCTGAAGCACATGCTCCTAAGAGCCAACTGCCTGGGGCTGATATCCCTGACAGCACCCCCGACCACTCCAGTGGCAAAACTACTGGGCAGCTAGCTGCATGTGTCTTCAGGGGGTCTAGGGATTGGGACATCTGGGTGCCACCCTAGGGCCTGAGGACAGGCTGTCCTCACCCGCCACTGCCATCACTGGCATTTGCATATGCCATTTAGGGACTGAGGACAACCCCATGGCACTCACTGCCACCACTGCCAGTATCTGTGTACGCTACCTAAGGTCCTAGGAATCAGTCCACCTCACCTGCCACCACTGGCACTC
This sequence comes from Homo sapiens, assembly GCF_000001405.40. Lineage (NCBI taxonomy): Eukaryota > Metazoa > Chordata > Mammalia > Primates > Hominidae > Homo > Homo sapiens. The sequence continues at coordinate 78,328,365 of NC_000010.11, read as the reverse complement.
TTGCACACCTTCCAGGGTCCTAAGGACAGGCCTGCCCCACCTGCTGAATTGACTCACCCTGCCTGCTACTGCCATCAGCATCCACATGGGTTGTCTTGGATCCTGGGGATTGATCCATCCTGTCTGCTCCAGCACACACTCTCTAGTAGCTGACAACAAGCTTGACCCACCCACTGCCACCACTGCTAACATATAAACAAACCATCTGGGCGTCTGGGGATTGACCCACCTTGTACACCATTCCCAGTGCCCACATACACACCTTCCAGGGACCTGAAGACAGGTCCGTCCTGACCACCTCAACTACCTGAATGCACTGACTGGAGGCCTGGGGATAGGCCCATCCTGCCAGCCACCAGCACCCATGTGTGCCTCTCTGGAGTCCAGGGACTAGTGTATCTAGTCTGCCTCTGCCACCACCACTGGCACCCACCTGCCCACCACTGCTCATGCCTGCACATGCTGCTTGGAGGCCCAAGAGTTGGCCCTCCACCACTGCTGCCACCACAAATAAATACTACACACACCAACCAGGGGCTCAAAGACATGCCCACATACTTGGCCCACTGCTGCCAATTCTGGCATCCAAACAAGCTGCCTGGTGGCCTAAGGACTGGCCCACTTGGACCCATGACCAACAACACCCACATACACTATCAGGGGCCTGAGGACCAGCATGCTCAGCCTGCTGCCACCACCACTGGGTACCAAAGGACTGGCCTGCCTAGCATCCCTGTCCCTAGTAAAGTCTTGCCACAGCCCCTACTAATGACCACTGCCTAAGCCACCGAGGAACTCACAAACACCACTGATGCTGATTACAGATGAAGAAATCATACAAAGACCACACTACTGCAACTATCCAGAATCAAAGCCAAAACACCCTACCCAACCAACACTATAGATACACCTATGGAAAAAAAGTCTTTTCCTACAAAAGCCAATCTATAAAATTGGAAGATGTAATTATTAAATTAAATGTGCAGATATCAATGTAAAAACACATGAAAATGCAAGGAAAATGACACCTCCAAAGGAATACAATAAGCCTCTAGTAATAGTTCCCAACAAAAAGGAAATCTATAAAACACCTGAAAAAGAATTTAAAATAATTATATTTAAGAAACTCGGTGAGATATAAGAGAACACAGAGAAGCAATACATATAAGTCAGAAAAACAATTTATGATCTGAATGAGAAGTTCAACAAAGAGATAAGCATAATTTAAAAAAAAAGAAATTCTGAAAATGAAAAATTCAATAAATAAAATTTAAAAACAATTGAGAGTTAAAACAATAGGCTAGATTAAGCAAAAGAATGTTGAAATAACCCAGTCAGACAAAACAAGAAAAGAAAAAAGAATGAAAAAACCTACATGATATATAGGACACCATAAAGTGATCATATAGTCAAATTTTAGGATTTACTGGAGAAGATATGGGCAATAGTATAGAAAACCTATTTAATGAAATAATAGCTGAAAATTTCCCATGTCTTACAAGAAATATAGACAGATACAGGAAGCTCAAAAATCTCCAAAAAGATTAAACTCAAAAAGTCTTCTCCAAAGCATATTATAGCCAAACCATCAAAAGTCAAAGATAAAAAGAGAATTCTAAAAAACAGCAAAAGAGTCAAGTCACATATAAGGAAGTCCAATTCAACTAACAGTGGATTTCTTAGCCAAAACCTTACAGAACGGGAGAGAATAAAATGACATATTCAAAGAGCTGAAAGAAAAAAAAAAACTGCCAGCCAAGAATACTTTAACAAGCAAAGCTATCCTTCAAACATGAAGGAGAAATAAAATCTTTCCTAGACAAGAAAAACTGAGGGAATTTATCACCACTAGACCAGGCCTATAAGAAATGCTCAAGGAAGCCCTACATCTGGAAGGAAAAGAACAGTACCTACCACCATAAAAACACACAAAAGTATAAAACTCATTTGTAGACCAGATATAAAAGTGACAAAAAGAGAAAGAGAAATGAGTCAAATATTACCACTACAGAAAACCACCAAACTGCAAAAAAACAATGAGAGGAAGAAACTAACAAAGGATATACAAAATAATGATAAAACAATTAACAAAATGACTTGAATACATCCTCACCTGTCAATAATAACCTTAAATGTAAATAGATTAAATTCCCTACTTCAAAGATACAGACTGGCTAAAGGGGAAAAAAGAAACATGAACCAACTATGTATTTGCTACAAGAAATTCACTTCACTTGTAAAGATACACACAAACTGAAAGTGAAGAGATGAAAAAAATATATTCCACACAAATGGAAATCAAAAGTGTGCAAGAGTAGTTAGATAAAACAGACTAATGATCTTTGTCTCTTTTTATCATTTTTGACTTAAAGATGATTATATGATGATAAAGTGATCAATTCAGCAAGAAGCTGTAACAATTATAAATATATATACACCCAACACCACAGCAGTATTACTACAAATAATAATAGTTGAGGACTTGAACACCTCACTCTCAGTTTTATAGGGATCATCTAGACTGAAAATCATCAAAGAAATATTGGATTTAAACTGCACTTTAGGCCAAATGAACCCAACAGACATTTACAGAACATTTCATCCAACAATGGCAGAATACACGTTTTTCTCATCAGCACATGGAACATTCTCTAGGATAGACCATAGGTAAGAACACAAAACAAGTCTCAACAAATTTTTAAAAATCAAAATTACATCAGGTATCTTCTCAGACAACAATGGAATAAAACTAGAAATCGATAACAAAAAGAAACTTTAGAAACTATAAAAATACTTGGAAATTAAATAACATGCTCCTGAACAACCAATGGACCAATGAAAAAATTAAGAAGAAAATTTAAAAATTTTTTGAAACAAATGAAAATAAAAACACATCATACCAAAACCTATGGGATACAGCAAAAGCAGTGCTAAGAGGGACATTTATAACAATAAATGCCTACATCAAAAAAAGTAGAAAGACTTCAAATAAGCAACCTAATGATGCACCTTGAGGAACTAGAAAAGCAAGAACAAATAAAGCACAAAATTAGCAGAAGGAAAGAGATAATAAAGATCAAAGCAGCTAAATGAAATACAGACCTATAAAACAATACAAAAAATCAATGAAAAAAAGTTGGTTTTATAAAATGGCAAGCAAAATCAATAAACCACCAGTGCAACTAACCAAGGAAAAAAGAGAAATGACCCAAATATATAAAATCAGCAACAAATAAGATATTACAACATGATACCACAGAAATACAAAGGATTATTAGAGACTATCAGGAACAACTATACGCTAACAAACTGGGGAACCTAGAGGAAATGGTTAAATCCTTGGACACATACAACCTACCAAGATTGAATCAGGAAGAAATAGAAAACCTGAGCAGACCAATAATGAGTAATAAGATTGAATTAGTAATGAAAAGTCTCCCAACAAAGAAAAG